>NC_000013.11:84368891-84521731 GCF_000001405.40 Homo sapiens | reverse complement strand
ATTTATTACTTTTATTTGGAGTTGCACAAATGTTTTGGGTTCCTAAGACCAACAGATAAGTCTTATCCTTTAAAAATTAAGAAAGCCTTATTGTTAAATATGGGAGCATGAATTAGCAGTCCTTTCATACTTTCTTGGTAAGTAAGAAGTTATAGACTTCTATTATTAGATCCATAGTCGAATGTTTTAATTAAACTACAGCTACATTATATGAACCCCAAAATTACCTTAGGGTTTAGTGATAATAGGAGAAGGGGTAGAAAATGTTTACATATTAGGGTATTTTCTCACATGGGGATGATTTAATATTATCAGCGTGATATGTGAATACTCTTCATTGTGTAATAATTAATATATACAGAGAATAAAGGGCTGTGAGTAATATATTACATTCTATAAACATAATGGTAAGGTTAGATCAAGAGAATGAGGCTATGGTTATGAAAATTTCTCCTACTAGATTAATGATGGGGGTAGGGAAAAGTGAGTTAAATTGGAGGTTGTTGAGGTTTGAGGTTGGGCGAAGTTGGAGAGTCGTCATGTGGCTATTATCATCATGTGGTGGGAGGAGTTTTTGAAGGCCCCAGGCTAGCAGTATGGTTTGGCTATGGACTCGTTCATAGTTTGAGTTTGCAACGCAGAATAATATGGATGAGGTGAGTCAATGGGCAATTATTAGGGCCATTACGCCTACACAACTTCAGGAGGTTTGGATGAGGATGGCTATGATAACAAGTGCTATGAGGCTTTCAGAGGAGTAGGCAATGAGTGACTTTAGATCAGTTTGGTGCAGGCAGATGAAGCTCGTTATAATTATTCCTCATACGGATAGTATGAAGAAGGGGTATGATATAAATTCTCTTAGGGGTTTAAGGATTAAGTTGACTTGCATTATTCCATAGCCACCTAATTTTAGGAGTACTGCTGGGAGGACTATTGACCCAGCAATGGGGGCCTGTATGTGGGCTTTTGGCAGTCATAGATGGAGTCCATAGAGGTATATTTTTACTATAAATGCTGTGGAGTATCATAGTCATAAAAGACTATTGGATTAGGAAGTTATTATTTCTTGAGCACTATATGATGTAATTAGTATATTTAGGGAGCCTAGGGAAGTTAGGGTATAAATGAATACTATGGGTAAGGATAGAGATCCAACCAGCATATAGCATAAAAAGTGTAGTCCTGTGTTAAGGCATTCTGTTTGATTGCCTCGGCAGGTAATAATAACTAGGGTGGGGACTAGTGTGGCTTCAAAGAGGATATAAAATATGATAATTCTGTGGCAGGAAATGTTATAATTTATAATATTTGTAGGGAAATTAGTATTGAGATGTAAAGTTTTTTTTTTAATGGGAATGACTCTTTGGAGAGGTGATATTGGCTCGCTATGGTTATGAGAAGCAATAGTCAATCTGTTAAGATTAGAAGGAGTGATGATAGTGAGTTGGAAAAAAGGTTAGTGAAAAGTTAGATGTATCATCATTAAATTGGTTGAAGAAGCTAACAAGCTATCCTAAGTGCGTCTATGTATTTAACACCTGTGTAGCTTCTCAGCCAAGCACTTAAAATCATTCAAGGCTTCTATTGGTCAACAGGGCCAGCAGCTGGGAAGACAAACTGGATGCAAAACAGATAGTAGCTGGGGCTCTTGTCTATATCTGCCACCATATGTGAACATTATGGCTTTCAGAGAATAATTACTACAGCTTCACTTTTATCCTCCAAATCTCATACAAGATCCTTTTTAGAATATTTCTAATTTGGAATGCTGGAGGGATAGAGGGTCTGGGAAATCCAGTTTCCATCTTAACCAAGTTGACATTAACACAATCCAAGAAACAGAGCATGCATTCAGCTTAAAAAACAGTTTAGGCTGCCCTGAAAATCATTTTATAATATCACTTAAATATAAACATTTTCCAACTTGCTCTTCCTTAACTTGCTGAGAAGAACAATTGCATAACTGTACCACAATAATTATGCCAACAACATTATATTTCTCTCAAGGCTCTTCATCTAATAGAGTTGTAACTTATATTTCCATAATTAAATCAAATAAATTAAAGTTTATAATTCAGGTTTCCAAAGCAGAAATTTAAGTATAAAACTCATGTTTAGTATGCTCGGAATATAACTTTTAACTATGAGGTATTTTTGTGACCATAAAATTAGTAATCATTGTTTGCCATCAGAAATTGTATTTTTTTCACTTACGTATGAAATATTTAGTATGGAAATTTGCTCACTTAATCTGTATATTAGCTCATCATTGTAGTATAGGTTCTCATCAGGGGCTATTTTGCCTTACACTTTCACATGGCTGCATTAAAAAATCATAATAAAATTGTCTCTGACAGAGCAGAACCAAACCCAAGGCAAAGTTTGATTTTGTTCCACAGTGGTTTCACTTAAAATTCATGACCATAGACTTCACAGAAACTTGATATTGCTTGGAAATCTAACATGTCCCCCCGTATAACCACTTTTCACTCTTGAGAATAATTTACACTTTTAACCTTTTTCCTTAATATTTAACTCCTGTACGTCTTCTTACTCAGCCACGGGTCTCATGTCAAGATTGAGAAAATAAAAGTATTCAAGGAGGAGCTCAAATTCTTACCCCCAAATCTCAAAGCTATCCTGTGCCTGAACTATGATCTTAGTCTTTTCTCCTGTTAAATGGAAGAATTATCCTGTTTCCTCTTGAAGTTCAAATATTCTACTTGCCCTCTAGACCCCAAAACTCTATTAACTGCCTGTTTTAGATTTATTTATCTACTTCTTAAAATTTAACAAGAACTTAATGGAACAAATGACTCCTCTACCCAGGTTTATTAATCGGCCAATGCTCCTTGTTCTAAAATTAACACCACTGTCTTATCAGCTGTTTGAGCCAAAAACTCCGTAGTCATGCTTGTTGTATTCTCCCTGTATTCATCCAGCCCACCAGCAAATTCTGGTTACAGCTCCAAAATACATCTCAAGTCCACTAATTTTTTTCACGCCAATTGCTGCTACTCTAACCATGCCCTAATCATCTCTTATCTCAATTTTTGCAATAATCCATTTGCTTCCTTTCACTTTGCCTGGGTATTCCTCATGGCTCAAATCCTGCTAATTTACTTGCTCAATCACTAGAGCTATGGGAACATAAAGAGTTTTGAAAGGCGCTCTCTTAAGGACCATGATTTGTGGTGTGGAATGATGTAACAGTGTTTTTAAGGTACATCACCTCAGGGGCCCGTCAAACCCTTTCGGTAATAGTGACCCCAAAAACCTCCTTTGTGTTAGTCTATTTGTGTTACTACAATGGAATACCTGAGACTGAGTAATTTATAAAAGAGAAAAGAAGTTTAATTTGATTATGATTTTGCAGGATGTACGAGAAGCATGGTACTGGCATCTGCTTCTGGTGAAGCCTAAGGAAGCTTACAATCATGGCAGAAGGTGAATGAAAGCAGGCACATCACCTGATCAGAGTGGCAGCAAGAGTACAGGGGAGGTTTCACACACTTTTAAACAACCAGCTCTCCTGAGAACTCATTCACTATGGCAAGGACAGCACTAAGCCATTTGTGAGGGATCTGCCTTAAGACACAAACATCTTCCGCAGGGTCCCACCTCCAACAGTGGGAATTATATTTCCATCATGAGATTTAAAGGGGACAAACATCCAAACTATATCACTTTTACTTGTAGATGTCTTCATAACCAGTGTTGGCTACAAAATCTGTGATAAAGTGTAGCTGCAAACTTAATGGGACACATTCAAGCATCTACTCTTTTTAAACAGTCGTGTGGAAAAGGAAGTCACAAGCTTATTATCCCATCACCTTAGACTGAGAGAAAACTCTCTCAAGAACACTCTCACCAAACTCTATAGTGGTGATTACAGCAGAAGAGTAGGTTTTGTAGTTGAATAAACGTGCATCTGGTGAATGTTATATCACTCACTTGCCTTGCAAGCACCGCCCATAAGCATGAGTGTTTCCCTAGGAGAACCTTCCACTTGATACAGTAGAAGAAATCATATTTATCTCCTTTCATTACTTCTCTTAGAATATTTAAGGTATTTTGTTCTGGAATCATTCCACATGACTACTGGTCATTAGCAGTTGTGTGAACTAAAATGTGTTGATTTGAAATTATAAATCCTATTTCTATACATTAGCTTCAATATTGGAAGAACTGAAGTCCTTCTAAACAGTCTGTTACATGTTACACTTAACGAATGTTCTGATTGTATGCTGTTGTTCATAAACAGTTTAAGTGCCATAAAGGCAGGAATTATATCTGTGGTGCTTAGTATTATATCCGTCATTTATTAAATCAGCAGCAGACAAATGCATTTTCTAAATCAGTAATTGTTAAATGGATGAAAGAATAAATGGATGGAGAATGAATTACATAACATATTATACCAGTAAAATTTGAGTTAGTGAATGGCTTAACTCCTCCTCTCTATTGGATTACAATTCTTCCTTCTAGAAATACAAATATTGTAATGTGTAGATGCTGATGTCTGCACTACACATCTAGTAGGGAGTAATAGGAAGGTATGGTTTGAATTACAGACTTGCAAATTATAAGCATATGAAAGATATTCAAATCTGTTATATATCCAGGGAGAGAATGGAAAATAATGACTTGCCTCAAATAGAAATCTGGGTGTTACACTGGCAGCAATTAATATTTATTGAGCAATTACTTTATGGCATGCATTGTGCCAACTGATTTTCATGAATGACCTAATTTATTCTCAGTTTTACAGGTGAAAAATTAAAGACTAAAGAGCTTAAATATCACCTCCAAGGTGATTATTTCTAATCGTAGAAGACAAGATATAGAACATACAGAGCTTCTATTTATAAATACTCTGCTGTCTTATTCAAAAAGAATTGTGCCATGAAGAATCAAAGTCCAATAAATAGGAGGAAATTTTTACAATTTTATATGGTATTTGTATTACGCCATTCTCGCATTGCTCTAAAGAAATACCTGAGAATGGGTAATTAAAGAAAAGAGGTTTAATTGGCTGATGATTTTGCAGACTATACAGAAAGCAGTGTGCTAGCATCTGCTTGACTTCTAAGTAGGCCTCAGGAAGCTTACAATCATGGTGGATGAAGAAGGGGGAACAGGCCTATCACATGGCAAAAGCAGGAGCAAGTGAAAGAGTATGGGGAGTAGGAGATGCCACATACTTTTAAATTACCGGATCTCACTAGAACTCACTATCATGAAGACAATTACCAAGCCATGAGGGATCCACCCACATGATCAAAGCACCTCCCACCAAGCCCCACCTCTAGCATTGGAGAGTACAATGCAATATGAAATTGGGAAGGGACAAATATTCAAACTATATCAGTGTTCAAGGCATTGTCTCTTTCCACATTTAGAAAATTATTTTCAATTACTTTGTTAGGTTCCTTTTTCCTCTCCAATTGAAAGGTGGCTCTGAAAATTATGCAGTGGCTTGGGTCCTGCTGTGTTTATTTATTTTTGCCAGGTCTTATCACTGGAGTTTAGGCTTAGCTCCATAACTTCGTGATAGTTGTTAGCTATTTATATTCAGATTTATGAATTCTGATAATAACTGACTCCTAAGTAATCCCTCAAATAGAAACCTCAGAGCTAACCATTTTAAGAATTATTAAGCAGACTTATTAATCTTCTAAAGTACATGTATAGAATCCCTCAAGCATTTAAATTCTAGAAAATGTCCTCTTCATACCACCTACTTGACTGCAGCTGTTTCTCATATTGCTAATGGAGCAAAATCTACAACTGCTCACCAGTTCACAGAATCGGGCAAGTTGTGCCAATCAGTCTTTTCCTAGAAATGTTAGAAAACAGAACTAGAAAGTAAGACCTGTACTTCTAATGGTAGTTGAAATTCTAACATTTAAAAATAACAGTCCATCAATATACAGGCCCAGCCAGGTGAAACACAAAGGAAAAGGCCAATTTTTGCAAAGATAATACATTCAATTAGCATTCTTACAAAGGTAAGCAGAGACCAGAGGGAACAAGAGACTTGTTGACATAAGAATCCCTAATTCCAACTGGTTGTTGAGACCTAGTAGGATTTCTGTTGTTGGGTTCTGTGAGATATTCCAGTATGTTACAACAAATTCCTATTTAAACCTAGGCTAGCCTAGCTTACTTTCTGTTACTTTTATTCAGAAGAGTGCTAACTATTACATGTTCCTTAGATATTCCCTGGGTTGCATTTCTAGAGTCAGACTCTGCAGTTTCTTTGGTTACTGGGCACAGTTTCAGCCTAATGTCAGGATAAAACATATTTTCTTTCTTTGCTTGCTCTATGTTTTACCCAAAAAATTATTTTTTCATACTGGAGTCTATTGCGCTATCACAGCCTGCTACATTGTAGTCACTTATGTGTGTTTATCTCCTGCAACAATTTTTGTCCCTTTCCTGGAGGTCAAGACAATGTTGTATGCATCATTCTATCACCGCTATTACCTAGAGTAGTTCTTGGCATACGGATGGGTGCAAAATAAAATATATAGTAAATTATGTTGTATGATTTGAATATTTCACTTAAATTATAAATACATTAAAGGGTGAAAGTGTTGGTATTACTTCATTTAATCCAATAAAATCTGTAATGTGTTCAATGAACAGTATAATATTAGTTCCCAGAAAATGACCTAATTTATCCTGATCAGGTCATTACTAAATAGTTTAAGAAGCTGTATATTAATGTAACTGCAATTTATGATTTTAAAAATAAATTTGAATGTGCCTTTAACTACAGGCTACATTCCAAGTATTATTGTAAGAAAGTGATTCATGCATGTCGTGCTTTGCAATAACTTTCTTCAATTATTAAATGACTTTGTTTTACAGTTTATCATGTGACCAGGCAGTTCATAAACTTCTCAGTTACAGGAAAATTACTATATATTAATTCAAAATATGTTTACAATGTAGGAATCATTAAAATGCATTTTAAATTATGTTTCACCAATTTGGAGCAGTAATTGAGTTATATTCATCTGACAGAATATTATGGGTTTTTTTGTTTTGTTTTGTTTTTCTTCAGTTTGTTAGCCCTTGGATTATGAGTGTTAGCACAGTTTTGACAGCAAGATATTTCATCAGAATAAATAAGGGAAATACTCAACACAATCTAAGATATCTAACAATTTTGGCCAAGGAAGAACTGAGGAGTTGGCATTAAGATGGACATGGATTTACAAAAAATCAGCAAAACAATTAAAAGAGAAAATGTCAAGTAAAAAGCAAAAAAGAATTACAATTGTGTTATGGTCACCAAAAAGTAATTCTAATACTTCACCATCAAGTAAGTAAATAGTTTACAAATACAAGAAAAAAAATAGAGAACAAGACAAGACAGATGATCAAAACACAAGGAAATGATCAGATATCAGGTTATTTCATTAACATAGTAGACAATTAATTTATTTTTTCTCATTTGCTCTCCAAATCTCACCTAAGAGAGAGCCAAAAGAGCAAACATAAATGAAACAATATAACACAAAACAAAAAATATGGACTATGTCCGTTATAAAAAGAACTTGAGAAAAGAGTAATCACCATATAGGATGTTTTAGTACCTTATAAAGATGAAAAACTGTGGGTAACATATATTTGTCTGTTGTACCTATTTACCTTGATCACCTTCCATAGTCTACTCTATTGACAGGAAAAAACCCACAAGAATAACACTGTCATATCAAACTCAATTCAGTGGGACACAAGGCTGATCTTTTTACTTTGTCAGCTAGCTATGCTGCTGAGCTGTCTCTTTGCTCCTGTCCCCTTTCCTTCCCTTTATAGCATTTCCACATCAACAAACTTAAGAAGGGGGACTAGATGATACTCCATTAAAGAAAAGATAGTTCAAGAACACACACTTAAATAAAGAGAAAATCATCAGTTCATACTTTTAAAATGAGAAATTGAATTCTGATTATTTGTCTAGATTTTGGCCAGTCATCTTACTTGGTCCTCTAATAACTTGTTTACCTGGTTACTTTTTTCTTGTATATTTTGACATTAATTGCTAAGCCATCGGCATTTGTCTTTTTCCTTGTTTCTCAAACTGTTATTTGAAACTGTATATATCATATCAAGCAAAATCCACTCTATCATCAGCATATTGCCCTCATGTAAAAGAGAGACAGGGAGAAACAGAAATATGTCTCTATTTTTTAAGTTTATTGTCATTTGGAGGATTCTGACACAACAGATTAGAGCTGACATTGGAGATGGCAATTTGAAATAGTTAATAATTGCACAATTGCAAAAATATGGAACCAGCCCAAATGCCCATCAATCAATGAGTGGATAAAGAAACTGTGGTAGATATGTAAGATGGAATAGTACTCAGACATAAAAAGACATTAATTAATGGCATTCACAGCAACCTGGATGGGATTGGAGACTCTTATCATAAGCTAAGTGACTCAGGAATGAAAAACCTAACATCCTATGTTCTCATTCATACGTGGGAGCTAAGCTATAGGATGCAAAGGCATAAAAATGATACAATGGACTTTAGGGACTCGAGGAGAAAGGGTGGAAAGGGGGTGAGGAATAAAAGACTACAAAATAGATTCAGTGTATACAGCTCAGTGGATGGGTGCACCAAAATCTCACAAATCACCACTAAAGAACTTACTTGTATAGCCAAATACCACCTGTTCCCCAAAAACCTATGAAAAAAAATTTAAACAAAATAGATAAGCATTGTCAGCATACCACTTCATGCATTTTATGGTTAACTCTTTAATTGTTAACAGAGACAGATACATTACCTAAGACAGAAGTTTTTCTCATTACTATAAACAACAAGAATAGCAGTAATAATTTCTGGAAAGCAAAATGGGATGTGGTGAACAGTAAGATTTTACGTTTCATGTTATGTTCATCAGACCAATTTGATTTGTGTCATATGCATGTAGGACAGTCACATGCACTCAGATTTTTTTCCTTTCTTTCTTTCTTTCTTTCTTTTTTTTTTTTTTTGAGATGGAGTTTCGCTCTTGTCCAGGCTGGAGTGCAGTGGTGCGATATCAGCTCACTGCAACCTCCGCCTCCTGGGTTCAAGCAATTCTCCTGCCTCAGCCTCCCAAGTAGCTGGGATTACAGGCACTCACCACCACACCGGCTAATTTTTGTATTTTTAGTAGAGAAGGGGTTTTGCCATGTTGGCCAGGCCTGTCTCAAACTCCTTACTGCAGGTGATCCACCCATCTCGGCCTCCCAAAGTGCTGGGATTACAGGCATGAGCCGCCATGCCTAGCCTCAGATTTTGTTTTTAAAGAAAGAATCATTAGCCAGACATTAATAGCATCAGCAGGCTGACAAGGCATATAACTGAGGCAAAAATGTCTGGAGAAAAGTAAAGACAACAAATCAGAACAAATGAAATTCTAGGACTCAGAAGGACATTACTAGTAGACATAATTTTCCTTTAGAAATTTCAGAGATTTTAACCTCATCATTATTGAGATGGAAGCAATACAAGAATGGGTGACTATAACTGGTGAGTGGAAGCAAAATCTGAAGGACTAGTTTTATGGGTCAAAAAGAAGTAAAAATTTCTGGCAGGTAGATATGAACATTCTCATTATATTTTATGCTTTTACAAAAACTGTAAGAATATTTTTTTCAGTCCCATATGCTGTATGTTTATATCTGAAATCAGAAAAACATATGTTTCTCAAAATTGGGCCTCTACCACTTATTGTCTGTGTGAAACTTGAAATGTTTTTTTGTTTAGTGTTAGTTTTAGCATTGGATAAATGAGAGTAAGGACAGCATCTAGTTTAAAGTAGGCAAATTAAATAATAAGTTTTATGTTTATCACAGATTCCAGAAAGAAACTTATTCTAAAGCAAGAAATAGAAATTCATTTAAATATCACCTTGATCAGAGATATTGCAGTGTAAAATACAATATGTAGAAAAATATCAAACTCCTGGTAAAACGTTTTGTGATACAAATTCCAATACATCTTTACTATCCTCTATAAAGTATTAATTTAGAAAAATGCTGGAGAAGCAGTGAACTAATGCATTCTTCATTAGGCAATTTCACATACATCAGCTGATTTGCAGCACACAAAAAATGTGCTATTTTTGTAATAAGGAAAATGAAATCAGAGCAGTATTATCTTACAGTTAATAATTACAGAGTCGTGAACGAAAGCCAATTTTAGTTTTAATCCTAAACTCGAAATTCCATAATACCTGTTATAACAACTATAATACCATGCTGTCTGTCAACAGGGAATAGCAAATGGGAAAAGAAGTAACTTCCTTGATCCTTCATGTTCATATTTAGCTGTAAATCCACCTCTATATCAAGTTCCCTCAATTTTATAGGAAACGACCTCCACATTAACAGAACACATATTTTGATACCCTTTGGTTCTTTGAGATTTGTTGACAGTTTGAAAGCTGGTCTCTTTGGTGTGCCTTACTGATTATCCTAGGTAACCTGTTCCCTCTGGTGCACATCAGCAATGAATATAAATGTGATGATAATATTGCTACAAGTTGTGGCAAGAACACATCACACACCCGTCTCTTGTAACGCATACACACACATACAGTTCCTCAGACGAATGTTTCTGTGATATATTTGGAAAAACATTTAGATATACGACAAAGCTATCTCAATGTGAAGTAAGAAGGGGTTAATCATGAATGTATGAAGGTGTATAAATAGGAATTGTTTGAAAAGACAGATTATCTGTTGTAGTGAAAAGATGCAGAGTTTCGATGCTATAGTAATTATTTTCTATACATTAAAAAAGAGATCATGTTTGATGGTAATTAATTAAGACCAATTAAATAAAATAATAATAGCATTGCTTTATTTCAAATATCTTACCAAATTATTTCATCAACTTCGCCCCCTCCTAGAATCTCATAGACATTCAGTAACATTTCAAATTTTAAACTATACTTATTTATTCTTCAGTGATTGAATTATAGGTATTTTTGACAAACAAGAATGATTTCAGATCAAGTTTTAAACACTATTTATTTTTCATCATCTAAATACATGGATATTTTATAGTTTTTAATAAAATATAATAAATCTTTTAATTATGATTTTATTTCTGAAAAATATGTGTTAAAAAATAGCTATGATCTAAAACGATTTTGCTAGAATGCCACCAAAAGAATTTAGACAATAGACAAACAATGCAATTTACAACATTTTAACATGATTTTATGCTACTTAAATTTTTAGTGATGGGGCCAAAGAACAGATGTGTAGCTGTGTTAAAAACTACTTAGTTTTCAAAAACATTCTAGGGCCAGTTTTCAAGGGAAATGCTGCCAGCTTTTGCCAGTTCAGTATAGTGTTGGCTGCGGGTTTGTCATAGATGGCTCTATTATTTTGAGGTATATTCCTTCATTACCTAGTTTATTAAGAGTTTTTAACATGATGGGGTGTGGAATTTTATTGAAAGCCTTTGCTGCATCTTTGAGATAATTATGTGGTTTTTGTTTTTAGTTCTGTTTCTGTAATGAATCACATTTATTGATTTGCATATATTGAACTAACCTTGCATCCTGAGAATAAAGCCTGCTTGATCATGGTGGATTTGCTGTTTCATGATCTGCTAGATTCTCTTTGCAAGTATTAATATTCTGTTGAGAATTTTTTAATCAATGTTCATCAAGAATATTGGCTTGAAGTTTTCTTTTCTTTATTGTGTTTCTGCCAGGTTTTGGTAACAGGATAATGCTGGCCTCATAGGGTGAGCTGGGGAGGACTCCCTCCTTCTCAATATTTGGAATAGTTTCTTGTAGAATTCAGCTGTGAATCCATCAAGTCCTGTTTTTTTTTTTTTTTTTTTTTTTTTTTTTTTGTAGGCTATTTATTACTGATTCAGTTTTGGAGCTCAGTATTTGTCTGTTCAGTGAATTAATTTCTTCCTGGTTCAGTCTTGGGAGGGTGTATGTCTCCAGAAATTTGTTGATCTTTTCTAGGTTTCTAGTTTGTGTTCACAGTAGTTTTTGATGGTTATTTTTATTTCTGTGGGGCCAATAATAACATTCCCTTAATCATTTCTAATTGTGTTGATAAGCTTCTTTAAAAGTGGCAGAAGAAAAGGATATCCTCTCTCATGACTCCTCTTATTCAACGTAGTATTGGAAATCCTAGCCAGAGTAATCAAGCAAAATAGAGAAATAAGGAGCATCACATAGGAAGAGAGGAAGTCACACTATCTCTGTTTGCAGATGACATGATTCTACATCTAGAAAACCCATGGTCCCATCCCAACAGCTCCTTAAGCTGATAAACAACTTCAGCAAAGTTTCAGGATACAAAATCAATGAAAAACAATTATGAGCATTTTTATATATCAAAAACAGCCAAGCCAGGATCCAAATCGGAAAGGCAATCCTAGCCACAATTGCCACAAAAAGGATGAAATACCTAGGAATACAGCTAACCAGGAAAGTGAAAGATGTCTACAAGGAAAACTACAAAACACTGATTATAAAAAAATCAGAAAAGACACAAATAAATGGAAAAACATCCCATGCTCATGAATAGGAAAGAAGAATCAATATTATTAAAATGGCCCATGGTACCCAAAGCAATTTATATATTTAATGCTATTCCTATCACATCACCAATGACATTCTTCATAGAACTAGAAAAAGCTATCTTAAAATTCATATGAAACCAAAAAAGTGCCCAAATAGCCAAAGCAATCACAAGCAAAACAAACAAATCTGGAGGCATCACATTACATGACTTCAAACTATACTACAGGGCTACAATAACCAAAAGAACATGGTACTGGTAAAAACAGTCACATAGAAAAACAGAACAGAATAGAGAGCCCAGAAATAAGGCCACACACTTATGATCATCTGAGCTTCAACAGAGCTGAAAAAAACAAGCAATGAAGAAAAGACTCCTTATTCAATAAATGGTGATGGGATATCTGGCTACCCACATGCAGAAGATTGAAGCTGGAATTCTTCCTTAGACCATATACAGAAATAAACTCAAGATAGATAAACACCTTAAACACAAAATCCAAAAGTATAAAATCCCTGGAAGACAACCTAAGCAATACCATTCTGGACATAGGAATGGGAGATTTCATAACAAATATGCCAAAAGCAATTGGGACCAAAGCAAAAATGGACAATTGGGATCTAAGTAAACTTAAGTGATTCTGTACAGCAAAAGAAACTATCAACAGAATAAACAGACAACCTACAGAATGGGAGAAAATTTTTGCAATCTATACATCTGACAAAGGTCTAATATCCAGCATCTATAAAGAACTTAAAGAACTTTACAAGAAAAAAAGCAACCCCATTAAAAAGTGGGCAAAGTATAAGAACAGACACTTTCCAAAGGAAGACATACATGCAACCAACAAGCATACTGAAAAAGCTCAATATTGCTGATCCTCAGAGAAATGCAAATTGGCCAGGCATGGTGGCTCACGCCTATAATCCCAGCACCTTGGGAGGCCAAGGCAGGTGGATCATGAGGTCAGGAGTTCAAGACCAGTCTGACCAACATGGTGAAACTCCATCTCTACTAAAAATACAAAAATTAGCTGGGAGTGGTGGCAAGGGCCTGTAATCCGAGAAGTTTTGAACCCTTGGCTAAAAGGATTATTTGTCATTAAGAAACATTTGGCAGCCAGGCACAATGGCTCACGCCTGTAATCCCTGCAGTTTGGGAGGCCGAGGCGGGTGGATCACCTGAGGTCAGGAGTTTGAGACCAGCCTGGCCAACATGATGAAACCCTGTCTCTACTAAAAATACAACAACAACAACAAAAGCTGGGCGTGGGGGCACGTGCCTGTAATCCCAGCTACTCAGGAGGCTGAGGGAGGAAAATCGCTTGAACCCGAGAGGCGGAGGTTGCAGTGAGCCGAGATCATGCCATTGCACTCCAGCCTGGGTGATAGAGTGAACCCCGTCTCAAAAAAGAAATGCAAATCAGAACCACACAGATATACATTTCATAGCAGTCAGAATAGCTATTATTAAAAAGTGAAAAAGTAACAGATAATGGTGACGTTGCAGAGAAAAGGAAAGAGTTACATGCTGTTGGTGGGAGTGTAAATTAGTTCAACTATTGTGGAAAGCAGTATGGTGATTCCTCAAAGAGCTGAGAGTGGAAGTATCATTTGATCCGGCATTCCCATTACTGGTTATGCACCCAAATAAATATTTGTTCTGAATATATGCATGCATATGTTCATTGCAGTACTATTCACAATAGCAAAGACATGGAATCAACCTAAATGTCCATTGACGACAGATTGGATAAAGAAAATGTAGTATATATACACCATGAAATACTATGCAGTCATAAAAACAAACAAGATCATGTCTTTTGTGAAAAAAATGGATGGAGCTGGAGGCCATTATTATTAGCAAACTAACACAGGAACAGAAAAGCAAATACTGCATATTCTCAGTTATAATTGGGAGCTAAATGATGAGAACTTATGAACACAAAGGAGAAAACAACAGACACGGGGGTCTACTTGAGGGTGGAAGATGGGAGAAGTGAGAGGAGGAGAAAAGATAACTACTGAGTTCTGGGCTTAATACCTGGGTGATGAAATAATCTGTACAACAAACCCCCGTGACACGAGTTAATCTATGTAACAAACGTTCGCTTGTACCCCTGAACCTAAAATAAAAGTTAAAAAAAATTCTAAACAACACGTCTGTGTATTTCATGAATAAGCTACATTTTGATACCAATATAATATTAATTTAGAAAAACAGTATTACTTACATCTATGTTCTGCATAAGCTGATTTCTTTTTTTCTGTCTAAATTAGATAATGTTTGTGCCTATCCCTTGATGTAAAGAATTAACAGTAATTTTTTAAAAATTACCAAGAAAATATAGTCATGCTAAAAGAAAATATTAACCTAGATATTTCTTAGATAAATATATGGAAAAGAGCAAAATATAAAGCAAAAAAGAATGTTCCAAAATACAACTACTCAAAACTGTATTTTCAGTAAATTTACTTTTGTAAGTTGCTAATGATTTTCTGATAATAATTAATTAAGAAGTCTGACTTACACAAGTATTGTTAAACTATATTAAACTTTCTTGCTGATATCCACACATATATAAAACTAAGTATTTGATTATAATACAAAATATTTGGTGACAACAATTTTCAGCATGTTAAACAAAAATATTGATATAGATTTTCATTTTAGTAGAGGAGCAATCGAATTTGCCTAATGGAACTTAAGATGCCATATTGAATTGACCTATATTAAACAGCCATATCCAAAAGTATGAAGAAATTTTAACAGTTATAGAGCACCTAAAGGAAGGGAAAAATGTAGTAGTGTGATATGCCTGTGCTCACTTTTCATGTGTTTCTTTAAGTCCCTAAGAGTGAACACTATTACTGACTCCCATGGACATGATAAGAAAAATAAATTTAAAAAGCATAATGATTCTAGGCCTAAATCGATTCTATTATTAAGCAGATTTTACAAGCCCTGTAGTATTTCATTGTGCATAGGCAAGATAAAATTGACAAGTTAGCAGATGGTAGCTTGATGAAGAATGCTTTTATTAATCTATAAAAGTATTCCAAAGAATCCCTGCTGGGTGCCATAATAATAAAATATAATATATTTAAGTTCTACAAATTGTGGCATAAGTCCTAGAGGGAAGGGGATATATGTTTGTATAAGAGTAGGCAGCAATACAAAATTACTATGAATGGGGTTACAGAGTGAAAGAAAACAAAAATCAGAAGAAATACAAAAATATATGTTTAAATATTATTCTGTGGGCAAACTATGGTAATTTAAATAGCCCACTAATAAAATGTTATTTGACAGCATAAATAACATATTTTTAAAAATCTAGTTACTTAACTTTATGTTAAAATATTAATTATGTAACACCTAATCCCTGTTTTAAATCAAATATTATATTTTTTCCTAAATATGTGTGATATTGATGAACACTAAAGAAGGATTCAGCCTTTGACAATTTTAAACGTATTCTAAAATTTCCACTTGAACTGTTCAGGTTCATGTT
The DNA here is from genome assembly GCF_000001405.40 of Homo sapiens. Classification (NCBI taxonomy): domain Eukaryota; kingdom Metazoa; phylum Chordata; class Mammalia; order Primates; family Hominidae; genus Homo; species Homo sapiens. The sequence continues at coordinate 84,505,644 of NC_000013.11, read as the reverse complement.
GTGTGTGTGTGTGTGTGTGTGTCGTGTGTGTGTGTGTCTTTGTGTGTGTAGGAATTTATCATAAGGATGAAATAAAAAACAATGAAAACAGTGTGATACCATTTTGTAATTTTTTTAAAGTACAAACCATGCTACATATTTTTCTATACATGCACATATGCAACTGCATAGATAAGAAAAATGACAGGATATACAATAACTTGGTAAGAGTCATTATTAGGTAGACCTTTAAGTGTGATTTGAAACCTGAAACTTTGTTCTTTTGTAGATTTTTTTTTGCAAGATTAAAGTTATTTTCTTGCAAGAAAAAAATAGGCTTAAATAATTACATTCTGATTTCTCTTGCCACTAAACTATTCACTAATATAGGTAGTTCTGATAATCCAGGGTTCCCTTAGGTGTAATGAACTGAAATGATACCTATAATAATGAAGCCCTGCTCGTAAGTTTCTTTGAATTTCTCATATTGCAAAGCTCCTCTTGCAGACTAGTATGAGATAAAATAGAACATGTTTCAATATGAACATTTTGGCTGTAGGAAAGAAAAAAAATCTTACATTTTGGTAAACATTCCAAAGAATATATCAGTAAAAAATGAACATTTTAAAAATGCACATTTTTACAGCCCAACTTATCCTTTAATGTCCCTATTTTGCTAGACAAGTTTAAGTACATCTGAACATATTTTATATAATAAAAATTAAAATGACAGGTATAATTGTTTAGAAAACCCAAGAGTCAATTACATAAGAATATCAGAATTTATACAATATTTTATTAAAAGTATTTTAGTCATCCTTATTTCTAAAACTATGCACTAGCCCAGTTTCTTGGCTATTATTTTAATTTACCTTTAGCCTTTCTTCACTTACTTTAAAAAGATAGCTAGAGATAAAAGTGTAGATATGACATCCTGAAACCACTGCCATTCTAAACTAAACAGTAATCAGAATTTATCTGTTTAAGAGAGCTCTGCTTAAACTCTGCTCACTACTCAGATAAATGGTTCCAGTGGAAATTAGGTCTGGAAGCAGAACCAAGCAAAAGATTAAAAAAAAAAAATTCTTTAGAATAATCTTTGTACTTGACCATCAAAATAAACTTTATCTGAACTATCACTTCTATTTTCTTCTATTTTGGGCATAACATGAAGCTATTTTGTATGGTAGGTGCAGCTGGTAAGATCTATGTGATTTCTTTCTAGAAGTACAGGTATATGACTAATTCTCTAACATTTCCCAGGTCACCTTATTGATATGTGATATTATATTAAGAAAGCATAATGTCTTCAAATAATAATCATAATGATAAAATGGGGAAAGTCATAACTTTACTTGTGACAGCGGCTGATAGAAGATCTAATTAGAGAAAGCATGCTTGGGAACTGTTTGGGATGTTTGGAACAAAAATTAGGGTGGATAGGTGTATTAGTTAGCTGCTGATAAAGACATACCCAAGACTGTGAATAAAAAGAGGTTTAATTTCTACACAAGACTGGGAAGAAAAAGAGAACTTCCATTTCCACATGGCTGGGGAGGCTTCACAATGATGCAGAAGAAAAGGAGAAGCAAGTCATGTCTTTCATGGATGACAGAAGGCAAAGAGAGAGCTTATGCAGGGAAACTCCTTTTTTTTAAAAAAAAAAAGATAAATAATATCTTTATTTTTTTATTTTTTTTTATTATTATACTTTAAGTTTTAGGGTACATGTGCACATTGTGCAGGTTAGTTACATATGTATACATGTGCCATGCTGGTGTGCTGCACCCACTAACTCGTCATCTAGCATTAGGTATATCTCCCAATGCTATCCCTCCCCCCTCCCCCCATCCCACAACAGTCTGCAGAGTGTGATATTCCCCTTCCTGTGTCCATGTGATCTCATTGTCCAATTCCCACCTATGAGTGAGAATATGCGGTGTTTGGTTTTTTGTTCCTGTGATAGTTTACTGAGAATGATGATTTCCAATTTCATCCATGTCCCTACAAAGGACATGAACTCATCATTTTTTATGGCTGCATAGTATTCCATGGTGTATATGTGCCACATTTTCTTAATCCAGTCTATCATTGTTGAACATTTGGGTTGGTTCCAAGTCTTTGCTATCGTGAATAATGCCGCAATAAACACACGTGTGCATGTGTCTTTATAGCAGCATGATTTATAGTCCTTTGGGTATATACCCAGTAATGGGATGGCTGGGTCAAGTGGTATTTCCAGTTCTAGATCCCTGAGGAATCGCCACACTGACTTCCACAATGGTTGAACTAGTTTACAGTCCCACCAACAGTGTAAATGTGTTCCTATTTCTCCACATCCTCTCCAGCACCTGTTGTTTCCTGACTTTTTAATGACTGCCATTCTAACTGGTGTGAGATGGTATCTCATTGTGGTTTTGATTTTCATTTCTCTGATGGCCAGTGATGATGAGCATTTTTTCATGTGTTTTTTTGGCTGCATAAATGTCTTCTTTTGAGAAGTGTCTGTTCATGTCCTTCACCCACTTTTCGATGGGGTTGTTTGTTTTTTCTTGTAAATTTGTTTGAGTTCATTGTAGATTCTGGATATTAGCCCTTTGTCAGATGAGTAGGTTGCAAAAATTTTCTCCCATTTTGTAGGTTGCCTGTTCACTCTGATGGTAGTTTCTTTTGCTGTGCAGAAGCTCTTTAGTTTAATTAGATCCCATTTGTCAATTTTGGCTTTTGTTGCCATTGCTTTTGGTGTTTTAGACATGAAGTCCTTGCCCACGCCTATGTCCTGAATGGTAATGCCTAGGTTTTCTTCTAGGGTTTTTATGGTTTTAGGTCTAACGTTTAAGTCTTTAATCCATCTTGAATTGATTTTTGTATAAGGTGTAAGGAAGGGATCCAGTTTCAGCTTTCTACATATGGCTAGCCAGTTTTCCCAGCACCATTTATTAAATAGGGAATCCTTTCCCCATTGCTTGTTTTTCTCAGGTTTGTCAAAGATCAGATAGTTGTAGATATGTGGCATTATTTCTGAGGGCTCTGTTCTGTTCCATTGATCTATATCTCTGTTTTGGTACCAGTTGGAAGTTCTGGCCAGGGCAGTTAGGCAGGAGAAGGAAATAAAGGGTATTCAATTAGGAAAACAGGAAGTCAAATTGTCCCTGTTTGCAGATGACATGATTGTATATAGAGAAAACCCCATTGTCTCAGCCCAAAATCTCCTTAAGCTGATAAGCAACTTCAGCAAAGTCTCAGGATACAAAACCAATGTACAAAAATCACAAGCATTCTTATACACCAACAACAGACAAACAGAGAGCCAAATCATGAGTGAACTCCCATTCACAATTGCTTCAAAGAGAATAAAATACCTAGGAATCCAACTTACAAGGGATGTGAAGGACCTCTTCAAGGAGAACTACAAACCACTGCTCAAGGTAATAAAAGAGGATACAAACAAATGGAAGAACATTCAATGCTCATGGGTAGGAAGAATCAATATCCTGAAAATGGCCATACTGCCCAAGGTAATTTACAGATTCAATGCCATCCCCATCAAGCTACCAATGACTTTCTTCACAGAATTGGAAAAAACTACTTTAAAGTTCATATGGAACCAAAAAAGAGCCCGCATCGCCGAGTCAATCCTAAGCCAAAAGAACAAAGCTGGAGGCATCACACTACCTGACTTCAAACTATACTTCAAGGCTACAGTAATCAAAACAGCATGGTACTGGTACCAAAACAGATTTTTTTTTTTTTTTTTTTTTGAGACTGAGTCTCGCTTTCCTACCCAGGCTAGAGTGCAGTGGCACAATCTCGGCTCGCTGCAGCCTCTGCCTCCTGGGATCAAGCCATTCTCCTGCCTCAGCCTTCCAAGTAGATGGGATTACAGGTGCAAGCCATCAAGCCCAGCTAATTTTTGTATTTTTAGTAGAGACGAGGTTTCACCATGTTGGCCTGGCTGGCCTTGATCTCCTGACCTAGTGATCTCCCCGCCTCAGCCTCTCAAAGTGCTGGGAGTACAGGTGTGAGACACTATGCCTGACTGGAAACTCCTATTTTTAAAACCATCAGATCTCATGAGACTCATTCACTATCAAGAGAACAGCGCAGGAAAGGCCCTCCCCATAATTCAATCACCTCCCACCAGGTTCCTTGCAAAACATATGGGAATTGTGGGTGTTACAATTCAAGGTGAGATTTGGGTGGGGACACAGCCAAACCATATCAATGGGAAAGAAAGAAAGGTCACCAGAAGAATCTAAGAGGTTACTTGAACTGAGCAGTGTCATTGGCTCAGGTTTCTCTTCCCTTCCACACTACGGCTTTGACTAATTCAGAAGAATCTGCATTTAAGTAGAAATCAGAAGAACCAAGTTATCAAAGAATCTTCAGTTTCTTTTGAATTCATAATGTCAGATGTTAAAGTAGTAGGCAATGCCATATCTTAAACATTCTCAGAGAAAGACTTTTGGATAAGCACCTTTTTGATCAATAAAATGTTCTGCAGCCATGCTTCTTACAGTTTAACAAGAATATGAACCACCTGGTGGATTTAATTTAAATATATATTTTGATTGAAAAATCTGAAGAAATCATGCATTTCTAGCAAGATCCTGTGATGGCAACTCTGTGTTTTGATCACATGTATCTTCACTGCCCTCCTGGATTAGCTCTCTCCTAACATTATAAAAGTAAATATTTTGGCTGGGTGCGGTGGCTCACGACTGTAATCCCAGCTCTTTGGGAGGCTGAGGTGGGTGGATCACCTGAGTTTGGGAGTTCGAGACCAGCCTGGCCAACATGGCGAAACTCCGTCTCTACTAAAAATACAAAAATTAGCTAGGCATAGTGGTGGGCGCCTGTAATTACATCTAGTGGGGAGGCTGAGGCAGGAGAATTGCTTGAACCCGGGAGGCAGAGGTTGCAGTGAGCTGAGGTCGCGCCATTGCACTCCAGCCTGGGCAACAACCGCAAGACTCTATCTCAAATAAATAAATAAATAATAAAATAAATAGTTTACTATAAATTAGTAGACATAATTATTTATATTACTATAAATTAGTAGACATAATTACTATAAATTAGAAGACAGACAGATGTACTAGAGATTTGTATTTAAGGGTTTTATTCAAATTGATTTTTCTCCTTTTTTGATACGTAATGTATTTAGTCATGGAATCACAGAGGTGTGCCATCATTCCTGACTTCCAAAAAAAACTAAAAAAAAAATCTTACGTTGAAAAATTAAGGGAGGAGAATTATTAGAAAGAATAATCCTGATAAGAAAAAAGAGAAGTAAGAAAAAAAAGGAGAGTTAAGAAAGAGGAGGAAACAGGTTCTAAATCTTTTTACCTTAGTCACTTCAACACTGTTCTTTTAAAATATCATGTTTCACCACCATCCATCCTGATGCTATTTGAGAATCAAGCTCTAACAACTTGGCATTTCACACACATAGTCTCATTTAATTTCACAATGACTCTGCCAGACTTTTATAAAACGGAAAAATGGAGTTCAGAGAGGTTAAGTTACTTGAGAAACCTAAAAATTGGCAGAGATCTTATAAGAAGCCAAGTCTTTTGTCTTTAAAACCTAAATACTGTGTTCATGACTCTATTCTGGAGGAAAAGGTGGCCAATGCCTACCAAAAACAAAACCAAACAAAAACCTTTTCCTGTTTGACAGCCTTGACCAGGGCACTTCTCTTTGGAACTTCAAAGATGATACTTTTTTTTGGCAGTCCTAGGCTTAATTCACCTGTTTCAGACACAAGGGACCATACAAATAAAGTGAATAAAGTACAGTTCCAAGGGAAAATCTATTTGAGTGCTCTGAAAGGGACTCTTCCTCTGGAAGTAACAGAAGCTTCAGGATGGGAATAGTAATGGGAGAAAGTAGCTACACTGTGATGGAAAGAAGATGAACAGATTTCCCTCTTTTGCTTAATTTTCCAATTGCAAGAATGATATTATTTAAAGGACATAATTACCCATTAATAAAGGGAGAAAATTGTGACGAGTAAAATTACATTAATATCAATATGATGTATCAAATAGACAGTAGTAAAGTAATGGTACGGTGCTTAAGTCTGACTGTTAGCTGTTTTATTAGGACTTGTGATGAGCAATTTTATGTGGCCCTTTGAAACGGCCACAAAGTGCCCAGATATTTGGTTGAACATATTCTGGGTATGTCAGTTATGGTGTTTCTGGATGAGAGTAACGTTTGTACCAGTGCACTGAGTAAAGCACATTGCCCTGCCTACAGTGAGTGGACCACATCCAATCTATTGTAAGCCTGAATAGAGCAAAAAAGACACTAAGAGAGAACTTTGTTTCTACCTGACTGTCTTCAAGCTGAGATGTCTGTCTTCTTCTGCCTTTGGACTTGGATTTGGACTGGAACTATACCATTGGCTCTTGTGGGTCTCTGGCTTGCTAACTGCAGATTTTGGAACTTCTCAGTCTCTACAACCACATGAGCCAATGTCTTATAACACATACATACATACATACTATTGGCTCGGTTTCTCTGGATAACTCAGAATAACATAGCTTGCTTCTGAATGTGGGATTTCAGTGCAATATTTCTGAAAAACTGCACACATGTAAATCTATGCTTATTTCATTCTACATTTTCCAATTAGTAAATATTTCAGGTTTATGATAACGTCACAATATTTTTGCAGGTCATAATATCTTGCTTGAAAATAATAGATGAAAATATGACTTTAGAAATATAGAGCATTTATACATTAGTATGGAAAGTTTCCACTAACAGATACTTGGGCCACCTTTCTCTTTACACTCATTTAGAAGTTGTTATGTCCTAATGAGACTCAAAGTAACCAAGCTTAGGGAACAGAATGGTTGACACATTCTTAGGAGGTATGATGGATGTCACGAAGCCTGTAGGCATTTTGGAAATAGGCTGTAGTCTTACTGAACATGAGTTGTATGGACAAAACGTAATAAGGCAAAAACCTTTTCCCTAGTCCAATATTTCTAAAGCTGTCCCTAGCTTAAATATCCTTCCATCACCTAATTTACATTCATAAAATTTTAGGTGACACTATTAGGGTTCATGCAAAGGCCAGAGAAGCCAATAATTAGTTTTACCATTATATTAAATTATTCTTAGAAAATTTTAAAATTCTAAGCCATGCAGTACCATCTCATGAACACTGAATGGTTGACAAAATTATATTCAGGCCTTACTCTAATAAATTTTTCATATTCTCAAAAGAAAAAAATGGCTAAGTATTCAAAAAATACATTGATATATAGACAAGGAAATGCATAATCAATTGTTCAAAAAAGGGTATATCCAAATCGGAGGAAATATTCTGAACTATTTATTAAGTAGATGTAACCTGAAAAAAATTACATATTCTAAAAATTATTGCTTCTTTTTGCTCTGAATTAGGTGTTAATGCTGGTAATACCCATTAACAAATGTCCAGTGTCCAGCTGGCTTTTTAAATTTTTTTTAGATAGCTTTGTTGATACATAAATGTGCAGCTATTTAATGTATACAATTTGATGAGTTTAAGCGTGTGCATACACTGTTGAAACCATCATTACTTAGTTTTTTAAACTTGATATCCTTCTCTAATACATTTGTGTGCCCTTAGGAGGAAATTTAATCTCTGTAGGATGTTATCTCTGGACAGTCAGGGAGAGATTAGGCAGCAGGCAAGTTCAATGGCAGGACTGTGAGTTGGCCAGGTCTCTGTTTACTATTTAGACAGTTGCATCTATTGAATATGATTAAGAAAGGGGAACCAGTCTGGGAAAAAATAAAGGTGATAAACTGCCCTGAGAACCATTAAGTAGCTTTAGAGAACTAAAACTATGTAGGTTTCAGTCAACGAGTTAAAGAAAGAATCACCTATGGGTATAACGAATGTATAAGACGCAGGCAGTGAAACCATTCGATCTGAAGGATGCAGCCTTATAACTGACCACTGTCTTAGAGATGAAAATATGAAAATAACGGGCCCAGCTCTACCACAGCTAGAATTTACTGTGCAGGTTATAGGCCTTGGCTTCTGCATCCTCCATCCTGTCTAAAATTGAAATTGCTGTCAATGAAACTCATAAGTTACAAACCAAATAAACTTAAGTACCCAGAGGTAAGTCTGTTTCTTAGAAGCTAAGAGGTTTACAAAACTGGGAAGACTTAGAATTAAATATCAGAGTGATTAAATTAATCCGGTTTGTAGAGTGGGCATCTTTGTGTAACATTTGGAAACGCTCTTTGTGTGGTTGTTATTTAGAGTGTTTAAAATATTTAACAGCATGGGAAAGTTAGCAAATATTACCAATTTCCTTATCAATATATTCTCACTTACTACATTATTTCTAAGAGATTTTTAAGTATTTGGAGAATGTGCTTTTTCTGCTTGTTAACATCAAATTCTTGAAGTCATGGAAAATAAAATTAAAAGCATTAATATAAATGTAGTTAATTAGCTTATTGTTTAAGGGTCTTGTATTAAATTTGAGATAATCAGACAATAATTAAAATTTCTTCAAAATGAATGTTTTATTTTACATAAAATTTATATATTTGTAAATAGGTAAACCTTAATTAAGGAATACTAGCCCTTTTAAACTTGCCATTTCAATGAAATAGTAAACTCCATGTAATTCTAAATAATCTTTTATACATATAAGCTCCTCTCGGTCACAAAAAATCTTACAGTCTTAAAAACAGATCTTTATAGTTTGTTTAATAAGGGGTGTATGTAGATAATAAATATTAATATTAGTATTTTAAGCCAAAATAACAACAATCATAATCATAGTAATACAAAATATGTACTTTAAAACTATGGAAGTGCTAAAGGACTGGAAATTAAGGAGCTATTGTAGGCTTTTTGCTTCTAGGTCACACCACTGCAGCTGAAATTGAGATTTAGGTAAATGCTTCTGCTTTGGTTATCATCATTTCAGCAACCACACTGCACCACACCACAAAACTAGAGGCTGGGTAATCTAGCCACTGCTAACACTCTATTTTGCCAAAGTCTGCTGTTTTATCCAAGATGAAGCTTTCTGAATCTGATTCAAATGTCCGAAAAAGGAGGGATGGTAATATAGAATTTAACCTCCCTCCTCCTTCAAGTAAAGGAAGGGTGGCATGAGGGTTGAGAGGGCTACACGATCATCATGCACATGAATGATTAGAAAGTCTCAAGCAGGTATGAGGGATAAAGATTTTTTTTTTACTTTAATTTCTGGGACACGTGCAGAATGTGTGGGTTTGTTACATAGGTATACATGTACCATAGTGGTTTGCTGCACCTATCAACCCGTCGTCTAGGTTTTAAGCCTTGCATGCCTTTGGTACTTGTCCTAGTGTTCTCCCTCCCGTTGGCCCCGACCCCCTGTCAGGCCCCTGTTGTGATGTTCCCCTCCCTGTGTCCATGTGTTCTCCTTGTTCAACTCCCACTTATGAGTGAGAACATGCACTGTGTGGTTTTCTGTTCCTGTGTTAGTTTGCTGAGAATTATGGCTTCCAGCTTCATCCATGTCCCTGCAAAGGACATAAACTCATTCTTTTTAATGGCTACATAGTATTCCATGGTGTATATGTTCCACATTTTAGGAATAAAGATTTTTTTAAATGCCTGAACAAAATGTGTTTTGACATTGAAACTTTTACAGATTAACTGAGAGGTACTTGTTTTGAAACAATTAATTTTAGAAGGGCTATCTTTAAGAAGACACTTTATACAAAGCACCATCATTAAGCAGCATAAAACACAAACATTTGCATCTTCAAGTAACATGAGAGACAGATTACAGATCTCCTTATCCTAGCGCTAAGTCTGACATCATACCTAAACCTCACACCACCTTAGTCTCAGAGCATATAATTAACATGACTAAATTGAAAAAGGCACTTTAATATGTCATCCTTAACAATATTGTTAAAAGACATTATCAAAGTGTTATCTATAAATCCCCTGCTTTGGTGATGAAAAATATTGTGGTATAGGGATAAAGAAGAGTAGTAGAGAAAGGAAACACAACTGAAAAATACAAGTGAAAATAAAAATTGGTAATATATTTTTATCCTAAATTATGAAGTTTAAATATGCACACACAAATTGTGAAGATAGGCTAACATCTAATAATTCTGCTTCTCTGTTATTGGGTTATTCCACATGCAAATGAAAGAAATCTCACAGGATGATGAATTTTACTTAGTTAAAAAATACAGGATCATTATAACAATAGAATAGATATATATTGACAGAAAATACACACAAAAGTTGTACCATTAATATTTGATTTATTTGGGCAGTCAAGTAGAAGATATAAAATAAAACGGAAACCCTATGCAATCAAGAGGTAAAAACTCCACTTTGGTTCAGAGAAGTGTTGCTTTGAAGCCCCAATTTTACTATCTCTTAAAAATTCTAATGGACCTCTAACTTTATGCAGATACTTTCATTTATAACATCATCGGACAAATTAAGGATATTAAATCATGATTGCCGTGTTTCAAGTATTTTTTGCAGGTTTTTAGAAATTTTATTATTTCAGTTAATGTGGTAGTGTTTTTATTTTTATTTATTTTAAAATATTAATCTTCCTCTTACAGCATGACACTTTGAAATGATTTTCTTATTCCAAATTTATTTTAAAGTAACCTACATTAAAATTTTGTTTTGATTTTTTACATTTAAACTGTACTGCAGCCAAAACTTATCTGGACTTATGATATGACTTATTGGTCTCATTTGTGTGTGACTAACCAGAATTTAACTATTGGTTTTGTGTCATCCATCTCATTTTTTTTTCCTATATAGTCTCCTGCCATGATTGCATAGGGGCCAATTATTTTTCCCTGGTAACATGGATGTGAAGCTAAAGTTACCTGAACGTTTTCTCACTTTTCTTCAGAAAATTGACATTTATCTTATTTTTTTCTTTTAGCCCTCTGAATGCTATTTCTTTCTCTTTGTATTTCAGTATTTTTCTTAAAACTTGTAATAGTTTCCCGCTGATTTTCCTTGGTATTTTATCTATTGTGATTTAGGTTTTTGTTCCTTTGTATATTTTTTCTGCCCAGAAATGGTGTGTGAATTTACTTTGGTCTAAATCAGTCTCTATTTGGACTTTAGAACTTGCTCTCCTGGAGGTATCAGGCATAATTCAGGCCCTGGTCTAATTGCTTCTGTGTAGCAGGCATCATATAATGCAGCTCTATGATACTAAGCTAACTTCTTTTTATTTAATCTTTTTTAAATTTAATCTGTTAATTTAATCTTTTTATTTTTTGTTTAATTTTTATTTAATTTTTATATCACTCCCAGTAGAAGCGATATAAATTGCTTTAAAGAAGGTAAGGCAGTCTACATTTATTTTTTTTAACCAGCCCAGAATACTCAGTCCCTGGTGTTTTCAATTATATCTCTCCATGACAATTCTTTATGCAAGAGTAATAAACATTATACACATGACTGCTTCAATCATTCGCCTCTATGCTCCACAGTCTTTCCACCTAAACCATAAGTAGTAGAAGTGAGGCTGGCAACACCCTGTCTGACTTGGAATGATGTACTTAGATAGTTGGATAGTGAGTTAAATCCTTTTCTGGTGGAAGAAGATGTTGCATTTCTAAGTAAACCTAGTGAAGAAATGCCAAATCCATTTCCTACCTACTTGGTGAAAGTTGGTACCAATTTATTTCTAAGAGTGAATTGTAATGTTATTATACGTATATCTTAAATGTTTTCTTTCCTTTAGTAAATAAAATTTAACTGGAGTAATCCTCAAGTTGGACAGACACTTGTATTTTGCATAGTCTCCAGATAATTTTATGTGATAATGAAGAAAGATACGTTAGTGGCTTTTAGCATGATGTGATTTAAAAGCAAAAGTCTTATTTTTAAATCTCGCCTTTTGAATGGAATACAATTCTTCAACAGTGACCAGACAACATAAAATACCACAAGGCTTATATTACCTTGTTCCATACCATAAAAATATTAAAGCCAGCTGATGCTGCACTAGGTAATTTTGACATCTACATTTTCAAGCTACTGCATATTACACTTAACTGCAGTCTATTTTCCATAATATATTTTTCCCACTTGTTAGTGCTGATTCCTTATGTTTTCCTATATTTGCTCAGTTAAATTTTTGAAATAATGTCCATCATCTAATATTTAGCTCTGAACATTCCAACTTTTAAAACTTGCTACCAAACTATAGTATCTCAAGTTCCTTCAGGATCCTACATTTTTGTTATCTTGAATACCTGTCACATATAGAAGCTTCTTATTTTCTACAACTAAAGGGGTGATTAGTACATAAAAAAATGGATCACTACATCAAAACCAAGAAAATCTTTTAAAAGGTCATGCTATTTAGGCATCATTGTTCAATGAGTTACTTATGTAACAACATACACTAGTAAAATTTTCCCTATGAGTCTATATCTTGTTCACAAATGGAGAACAAAATATTTTATTATTTTAATATCAGCCCAAATGTTTTTTATTTAATTTTCAACTCTACTTTTAAAACTTGTCCCTACAAATTTAAGTTTTATAGCCACATAATCACTTTCAAATTACTCTATGCAACTTTCAAGCAGCACAATGCCTGGCACCTGATAAGTTCTGTAGTTCCATTGTTCTTTATCCTGACAATATTCTAAAGAATGTAATTTCCTTATTTGGAAGTGTCAGTATTTTCTTACTGCATTCCTCTGAAGACAGTATTTTGAACCCATAATTTCTCAATTGAATTTGAACATTTTTTTACCATGTATTTCAGTGATTCTGGAGGAAAGCACTTTATAATTAAGTACTGGTTATATTTAAGGATCTCTACAAATTTTGGACATCAGATACTTTTTACAAATTCTTGCTCTATCTCTTCACTTAAACACTCACTTTCTTCGTCAGAGGAGTCAGAGACCAAGAAACAAACAAAAAACGATTATGGATATTTAATTTATCCTTGTAAATTGACATTTAGTCTTTGTCTTAAAGTTACACATTTATTTATTTATTTATTTATTTATTGAGACTGGGTCTCACTCCGTTGCCCAGGCAAGAGTGCAGTGACACCATCTCACCTCATTGCAATCTCCACCTCCTGAGCTCAAGCAATCTTCCCACCTCAGCCTCTCTAGCAGCTGGGACCACAGGTGCACACACCATGCCCAGCTAATATCTGTATTTTTGCAGACAGGAGGTTTTGCTATGTTGCCCAGACTGATCTCAAAGTTCTGGACTCAAGCCACCTGTCTTCTTTGGCCTGTCAAAGTGCTGGGATTATAGATGTGAGCCACTGTACCCAGCCTACACACTTATTTTCTTCATCATTTTATTCTATAATTTTAAATATTATTTCACTGTCATTTTTTTGGATTGTATGGAGTTTTGTTTGCAGAAGAAAGGAGTTAAGCAGCTCTCCTGCAATTCCTTTCACCCCCATTTCCATGACGTCACTTCCAGTGAAGCAGAAAATTTTCCCTAACCCCTCTGTGGGTGGGAACTAGAGTGCACGGGCACTAGGACTGGCCAGCTGCTTCCGTGCTAGCAGAGGCGGACTCCACTCACTTGGTCCTGCTGAGTTCCACCCCTTGCAGGAGGGGGAGAACAGGTGAGCAGGTGCAGGAGCTAGGGCAAGTGCCTTTGGACACTGGCAGGAGCAAAACTCTATGAGGCCCTGTGGCAGCATCAAGGGGGTTGCCAGTGACCCCTGAAACTCCAGAAAGAGTGTTATAGTCGGTTGTCTTTTAGCTTTGCCATCCATGGATGGCTTATTTGTTAACAGGTCAGCGGAGGGTTAGTGTGACAGTTTTTTGCACCGGTACCTGAGTTCTTGTCCAGCATCCAGGAGGAATAAGGTCCCATAAACAAATTGGAGATGGTAAATGTGGGTGATTTTATTGCCTATGAAAGTGGCTCTCAGTGGGAAGGGGAGCTGAAAAGGAGATGGAAAAGGTAGATAATCTCCTGGAGTCCAGCCATCCCTAGCCAGACTCCTTTCCAAAGCTACACCATCAAGCTCTCCCTTTGAAGTCAAGGTGCTTCTCTCCAATGTCAAACCATAGTCTCCAATGTCCAGCTGTTTTTCCTCTTCTCCTCCTCTCCTCTGCTGGTGAGCCTGGGGTTTTTATGGGCACAGGATGGGTGGGGCAGAGTGGGCCATGGGTGCTTTTGGAAAAGGCAACAGTCAAGCAGGAAAACAGGAATGTATGTTCTCACTTTGGGCTGCATGGTTCCAGGCTTGAGGGTTGGGGCCTTCACGAGGGAGGCATATCTAACTGCCATTAAAATATGGATGATGACTGGTCTCAGCTACTTCCTGATGACAGGGGCATTGTTTTGGGGAGAAAAGCAGTTAGAATTCTCCCAGAGGTCTATCTATGGGTCCCTGGCAAAAGGGAGTCCAAGGGTTCAGTTGCCTGATTGGAATTTGATGGCCTCTAGGCTAGTAGAAACAAGACTTACAAGGTTAAGTATGCATGCATCAAATATGTGTATTATACAAAAAGAGATAAAAGGAGAGAATCTAATGCCAAATATTACAGAAATAGACGTGAAATATACTAATCATTCTGAAAACAACATTGTACCCCATGGTATAGAACAGAACAAAGGTAAAGACAGCAAGCATAGGCAAGACTATGAAGAGGATATTCATGAAATGTTAATTATTAACACTTATCTTGTGTGATTTTTAGCTTGAGGTCCCCGATCTCCTCACATTGGTACTTTGTGTTCTCTTCTGGGTTAACAGAGGTAACTCTGTCAGCTTTCCAGTTCTTTACTCAGGTATAATGAATCCAAGAATCTATTCCAATGATCTATTGTAATACACCGAGGTGATCACTTTCAGGAGGCTCTCTAAAGTACTCTCAGTTCCCAGGGCCTGTTTCTGCAGCATCCTCCTGATATCAGGGCCTGCCTGAATAATACATTTATCCTTTAGGATTAATTGTTCCTTGACTAAATCAGGAGACAGAGAGGTGTGCTTTACCAAGGCCCCTCTTAGCCTTTCCAGGAAGTCAGTGGGATTCTCATCAGATCCCTGGTCTATCATGGATAGCTTGGTATAATTGAGAGGCTTAGTTCTAGTCCTACATAAGCCCCCTATTATGCACGCCTGAAAGTGTCTCCTCTTCCAACTTCCAGGAAACAAAGAAAGCAGTAGCTTGGTTTCATCTCCTTCCAGGCATTCCAGTAATTCACCTCATGGTAAATAAATAATGGTGTTTTCTAGGAGAAGACCCCTTATTTTTGAAATATTTTTAGAATTTTCCTGGTTTAGGAATGCTTAAGTTAAACAGTCTTAGCCTCTATGGACTTACCAGACTCTAAAAAACATCATTTATGCTGGAGTATAAAGTGGAGATATTTTACAACCTGTATACTCCCTGCTGTGTGAGGTACTCTGAGTTATCTAATTAGTAGCCTCATCTATGACTCTGTCCCCAGGAATAAATTCAGTATGAGGAAAAATGACCTACAAAACCATGTTTGCTATCATAGGCATCTTCTTGCTTTGCCTGTTACTCTTCAGTGTTTATATCCTTGAAATTATCAGTAAAGCTTGACACTGGAAAAGAGCTCTGATTCATGAGTTTGATTTGATAGTCTCATCTTTTGTTTTAGCTCAGTCTATTTGTCTTTGCAGTACTCAATCACTCAGAGGACTAGCTTGTCAGTCTTTACTATTCTCCTTGAAAATTTATCTATTTTTCCTTCTTACTTTATCTTTTTATAAATACAAATAATTTGTAAGCAACATTTTCTGAATGATTTATCTGTCTTCGTCCTCTTTTCTTTATTATTTATGTCAATGATAATTAGCTTCTGATACTTTTCCCCACCCTAATTTCTGTCCTCACTCTCAGGATTCATGTTTACATTAAGTTAAAACTTATTAAAATAAACTTTTGGAATTGAAGGATCCCATAGTCCAAGAAATTCCAAAAGTTTAGAAATATCAACCCTGATATAAAATGAGAGGCCAATCATTTCAAAAGTGAACAAATACAAATAATAAAAAAACAAGGTACTTTTTAAATATGGTAGTTAAAAGTATGCATAACAGGCACAGTAAAAATATAGTGAGTTCTAGACTTGAGGCACTTACTGGCTTAGAAAAATTGAGTAAGCCGATATAATCTTTTGAGTAGTCTAGTATTGCACATCAAAGAACCAGTTAGGAAGTCGTTCAGTGATGGAAATTCATTTATCTACCTTTAGAAAGAACAATCTGAAATCCAACACCTGAGAAGCCATAGTATGAAACGCGTGGTAAAGCTATCTGGGGAAAAAATGACAAACTGACAATTTGTAACTTTAAAAAGAACTATGTAGCCAGGTGCAGTGGCTCACGTCTGTAATCCCAGCACTTTGGGAGGCCAAGGCAGGCGGATTGCTTGAGCCCAGGAGTTTGAGACCAGCCTGGGCAACATGGCGAAACTCCTTCTCTACCAAAAATACACACAAGAAATCAGCCGGGCATGGTGCACGTGCCTGTAGTCCCAGCTACTTGGGAGACTGAGGCTGGAAGATCATTTGAGCCTGGGAGTCAGAGGTTGCAGTAAGCTGAGATTGCTCCACCACGCTGCAGATTGAGTGGCAGAATGAGACACTGTCTCAAAACATACATACATACATACATACATACATACATAGAACATATGTTGTGTAGAAATGTTAAATATTTTATCATAAATTTTATGTCTCAAGTATAGTTTTTAATAATGGTTCCAAAGTCAATATATTATGCAAATAATGATGCAATATTGAAACAAAATGAAAGTAATTGCATACTCAAAATTTGGTTAAATTGTTTACTTTCAAAATCTAAATGTCAGTGAATAGGTATTGCATTTCAAATCCAAATACCACACAAAAGAGTAAGTATACTCATTATTTACAATTACTTTACCTGTATATTTATTTGCTAATGTAATTAAATTAATAAAGTCCAAATGTAACCTGCAACGTTTATAAATTAATATTATACTAAAATATACAGAGTTTAATCATCTTTCTCAAGGTATGATTGTAAAAATAAAAACATTAGGTTCATTATCAAGTGAGGAATAAATTTTTGGTGAAAAGTTGTCCAAAGGCCATACAAGTTTATTTATTTTTCCCTTTTTTTAATTAAAACGTTATTGCAAGGTAATTTGCATTTCATAAAATTTTCTTATGTTAGTGTACAATTCAGTGGTTTTAGAACTTTGATCATCCTTACAAGAAACTCTGAGTCCATCAATGGTTACTCCCTTTCCTCCTCTCTTGTCCAAGACAACCATCAATCTTCTTTTCTGTCTCTAGAGATTTGCCTACCATGGACATTTCATATAAATTTAATTATAAAATATGTATGTGACTCGCTGTTACAGTTAGCATGGTGTTTTCAAGGGTTTTTCTTGTCATTACATGTATCAGTCTTTTATTTGTGTTGTGAAATAATATTCCATTGTATAGATATATTTTAATCTATTTATCAATTGATGGACATGTGGATTGTTTCCTCTTTGGTTTAGTATAAATAATGCTGTTGTGAATATTCATGTACAATTTCCATCAGGGCCACATGTTTCTAGTTCTCTTCACGCTTTCCTGGGAATAGAATTGCTGCATTATATGGTAACTCTATGATTAACAATGCAAATGTTTTCCAAAGTAACTGCAGCATTTTATATTTCAGCAATGCATGAGGGTTTCAATTTCTCCACATGATGGACAACAGTTGCTATTGCCTGTCTTTTTTATTATAGCCATCTTAGTGGATGTAAAGTGGTATTTTATTGTGGCTTTAATCTGAAATTCCCTGATGACTAATTCTATTGAGCATCTTTTTGTGTGCTTCTTTGTCATTTAATATCTTATTTGAAGAAGAAATGCCTAGTCAAATCACTTGGTTATTTTTTAATTGGGGTATTTGTCTTTCTATTATTGAGTTATATTTTTTGACAGATTCTGAATAAAAATTCCTTATAAGATACATGATTTGCAAATATTTTCTCCTCTGCTCTGTGTTGAAAGAGCTTTGCTGGATTTAATATTATTCTGAAGACTTGTGAGATCACTGTTAGCTAAACCAAATGTTTTTATCTGATTTTATCTTCCAACAATCTTTTCTCTCATTGATATTTTGATATTTTTTGAAGAATTGCTTGTTTTATTTTTTAGTAACTGCAATATTTTCGATAGTAAACTATAGCTTTTGTTTCAATACGGCATTTTCATATATCTTTCTACATTCCATTATATATAGGTGGTGATTACAGTGCAAAACGTTACTGGTGTCAATTTTAATACTGCTATATTCATGTTCCACCTTCTCAGAAAGCCTTTGAACTGAATAAAAAATATTGAAATACAATATTTGAATTGCTTATTGTTTTATTTCCCCTCTTGAGGATTATAAAAATATAGAAAAATTTATTAAATATCTATATATATTTCTTTAACACAAAAATTTGATATAGTATAAAGCTGTCTGAGTCTAGAAGAGTTTTGTTTGGTAAGCATTTTCTAAAAATTAAATAATTGAGTTGCTGGTCTTGGTGATAGAGTATAAATGATTTATTTGAGATCTTTGTAAAGTATGAAATAATTGTATAAGACCCACTAACAGTGGTTCTTCCTGGGTTTTACTGTTTCCTTCAACTTTAGTCCTCTTCAACTAATTGGAGCCCTTAAAATTGGGAAATATTATAATAAATGCATTCAGACTGAGATGAGTAGGGTTGAGTGGGAAAAATGGGAATGCTGGGAAAGTCTTGGTAGGCTTAGTGTGAACTTCATGGAGTGGGCTAGGGAGAGGGGAGTCAAGAAAAGAAAAGTTGGGTGATTGGTAAATTAGCAAGAAGCATCATTCTCATGCTGCTGACATGGGGCAAAAATAATATTGCACTAAAAAAGTTTACTTCAATATTAAGAAATAATAAATAAAAATATTTATTTATTTTTATTTATTAGCAAAAACGGTGTTAGAATTACTGTATGTAAAGTCATTTGTTATAATGGGGTAAGAATACAGTTCTTTTTTTATACTTTAAGTTCCAGGGTACATGTGCACATGTATACATATGTAAGAATACAGTTCTTATAGCAATGTTGATATTAGTGTAATAAAAAAATTGTAAGTCCAAAATGATTGCCTAGGCAACGGATTTATAGATTTTTTATTACTCTTGTTAAGAACCAGGTATTTTCTACCATCTGCTTGAAGTTTCAGGAATTTTTGGTGTCCTCTGGCTTTGAAGATTAAATTGGAGATGACTTATAGGAGTCAAGGAAATACACCAAGAATTTCATTTCTGTTACCTAGTTTACCAAGAAAAATAAATACATTCGTATTTGTGTGTTATTCTGTAGCATCAAAATTTAACAACTTCTGTGTAAGATATTGGAGATACCCAAATCAAATAGACACCACTATGATGAACCAAAGCTTTATATTCCCAGATTAGAAAATATTTTGTAGTAAATTTTCGAAGAACATGTCTCTAAAACTAGAGCAAAATGATGAATGAACACGTTTCCACACATTTATGCCACTACACTCATACATGAAATGATGGTACAGAAAACAGCATGTATCTTATGTAGACCTCATTTAATAGGAAAATTCAAGAGCCACTTGTAATTACAAACTGGCTTTGCTCCAAAAGGGAAGATTAACTTCAGCAACATATGTAACTCTTCATTGATGTTTTCAAGTGACCTAGGGTATGATCAACTCAGCAACGTCGATGCAAGTGTTATTAACAATTAGAAAAACAATGGTTCCAGCTCCTAGCATATATAATATGTACATGTGCATAAATTATTTTTATTCCTGTTTATTACTGCTACTAGTAATACATCTTAATGTTCTACTATTATTAGTTACAATATATTCTCATTCATCTTTTAGAAAGCCTAAAATACATTAATAAATGTCTCCTCATATCACCTGGAGTTTTTTTTGGCGGTTGGAGAAAATAGGTATACAATTATGTTAAACAATTTGATATATACAGCTAAAAAGCTGATTTGATTGTTCTGGTTTGTATCAAATTGCTACAAAGTAAATAAGTGTGATTTGGAGAAATTAAATAACTTGTCAGTACTTTATGAGGCATTAATCTCAGCCACTAATTACTATATGTATCAGCTTCCAACTTTATTAAGAATCCCTCACATCTATACACATTTCAACTAAATAAACACTGAATGATGGTCAAATAATTCACCGCTTATTCATTCTACTTGGTCCACTTCTATGTTCCTTCTGTTCATGACTGGCACCATCATTTATCTAATTTCTCAGTCTGAAAATGGGGGGATCATTTCCGACTCTCCTTAGGTGTTTCATCCCTTATAAGATATGGCCCAGTTCTTACAATTTTACTTTTTTGGTAATTCTAGAATCTTTGTGCTTATATCCTTCTCCACTAACATGATTTTAATCGGAATTTTCCTTATCATTTTTTAGATTACTACTATCAACTAACAGACACACCAGTATCCATACCTCCTTGCTACAATATCCAATGTGTAGCCTAAATTAATTTTCAAAATGTAAATCTGATATTGTCACTAATTCATTTTTTAATGGTTTATCTTTTGTGTATATATACACACCTACATTTATATACACATATGTACATATATATTTTGTCTGAATTTTTTAATCTGACTCTTAGTGCCCACTATACTCTTTCCCTTGTCTTTCTTGACACTTTCACTTATGTGTGCTTCTTTCAATTCCTCCAAAATGTCATGATACCTCTGCCACTGCATACCATTGTGTTCATCTGCCTGGAACACTTTTCTTCTTCTGCACTTGGCTAAATCTCTCAATGTCAAATGTCACTTTTCCCAAAAAGGTTTTATCTGCCCCACTACTGAGACTAACACTACGTATATGCCCAAATAGATCACTTACTAGAGCTATAATTTTGCATTGAACTGTGCAATTTTCTCTGTATTCTTTCCTAAAAAGAAAGCAAAGAACATGCCCATTTTGTTTACCATACCTATTAGCGCCTACTACAAGAGTTGGCACATGTTAAAGATTCAAACACTTTTTTTTTTTTTTTTGAGACGGAGTCTCGCTCTGTCACCCAAGCTGGAGTGCAGTGGCGCGATCTTGGCTCACTGCAAGCTCCACCTCCCGGGTTCATCAGCCTCCCGAGTAGCTGGAACTACAGGTACCCGCCACCACGCCCGGCTAATTTTTGTATTTTCAGTAGAGCCGGGGTTTCACCATGTAGCCAGGATGGTCTTGATCTCCTGATCTCGTGATCCGCCCGCCTTGGCATCCCAAATACTTTTTAAATGAATGTGTGCATTTGATCTTCAGTGTCTAAATAATCTGCTACTATTAATGTGTGTTTTTTAATGTGGTTTCTTATCACACAAACATATAATAAATTTCCAATTTTGTGGACTTATAATTTTCTTTTCCTTGCAATTTGAAGTAACATAAGAATACACAATTTATCAGTTTCTTTTTACACACTATTTCTTGAATAAAATAAAAAAATTCAATTTTTGGACTTAACCCTGAAATCATATATAATATGGGATATTTGAATATTTTTTCATAACATATCAAAAGACTCTTAGTTGTAAACATGAGTATTTAGCCTTATTATCCTTATTAGTAGTGCCATTGTAAAGAAGCTTCAGAACATTCCTAATTACTAATTTCTTCATTAAAAATCTATGTAGACAGAAAAATCATTGCAATGTGAAAGAACTAATAAGAACCTATTTTCACCTTCTTTATCATGCAAACAAGATATCAAAAATTTAAATCACAACCTAGTCTCTGACAGATAGTAAGTACTAAATTGGGATATGTCAAATCCTTTGAAATATTTTTATTGCTTAGCTTCTCCTTCTGTTCCTCATTGGTACCAAATAAAGTACACAGAGGGAACGCAATTGAGAAACCAATTGTCAGTGTTAGATAATTAGCTTCATTATTCCCAAATTTAAATATTAAATTTTAATATATCCATTACAAAATTGTGGAATTATAAGACTAAAAAATTGATGCTTATAAATATAGTGTCTAACTGATGGTTACAATTAAAATTTTGAGAAATAATCCAAGACACTCGGAAAGATACTATGTGCTTTGATTTTGAAGAGTTTGCTTATCGTTCATATATTTTAGATAATTTAAAAGAAATTATCTATAATAAATTATTTTAAAAATTGTCTACATATAAACTATATTTTATTTCATGGAAAACTCTACTTAAATAATTTTACATTGAATTATTTAATCAAAGAATTAATCAGTTTGAAATAAAATATAGCACAAATAAAAAATAAACACTTTTACAAAAATATACCAAAAGTATTTCTTTAAAATCTAAACAAGAACATTATATTCTGCTATTGGGTATTTTTTGTTTCAAATAAAATATCTGAAAACTACTATTCAGTATATCATTGCTTTTTTTAGTTCCTTGTCTTCTCTATGTATCTTGATCTTTCTTCCTGAACATTAAGGAGATGGACTTTGCTGCCTGTGTACTAACTTCAGACCTTACCTCTTCCTTTTATTAGCTGAGTGACCCTAGGTAATTTGTTTAACCTCTCTGTTCTTGATTAGTCTAATCTGTGAAATGGGGCAAATAGTTGTACCTACGAGTAGGCCATTAATAGGTTTGAATAAGTTAGCACAAGTAACATTTCATTACATTGCTGAATAAAACAGAAGATACAATAAATAGATAGAAGATATATAATTATATATGATATAAAAGGTATATCATATATAATTATATATATTTAATATATATAATTATGTATAATTATACATAATTATATATATTATGTAATATACATAATTATATAAAATATGTAATATATAATTATATATTATATATTGCATATTATATAATATATAATATTAATATAATATATAATATTGTATATATTATATATTATATAGCTATTGTATATTGTATATATTATGTAATATATGACATTATTTATTATATTATATATAATTATAAAATATATAAATTATATAATGTATATTATTTTGTTATATATTACATATATAATTATATATATATTATTATTACTATATATATACTATATATATACTATATATATACTATATAATTATATAAGACATAAAAGGTATATCATTATATATATAATTATATATCTTCTATCTATTTATTATATCATAGCAACTTTGCAAAATCTTTTTAACCCAAGTTAAAGTGTTGATCAGTATTGGATGCTCATTCATCATTAGCCATAAAATAATGAATTCATAAATGACTAAATGAATGGTAGCATTAATGTCTTATAAAACGTGAATCAACTATGGCTTTAATATAAAAATACATTGAACATTTAATTCTCAATGTCAGTATCATGAAAGCCAGTCATTCATTTTGCAGTGAATATGACTAAGGTATAGGATTTGGCAATACATAAGAAAGGCATAGTGAAGTGGTTCACAGTGCTATTTCTAGAGTTGTATGGCTTTGGCTTAGGCTGAGCATTCCATTTCTGTTACTTACTGCTTGTATGCTCTTAGCTTTAGTTCTCTCAGCTATGAACCTTGAACAGAGTTCCCCCTAAGTCACTCATTGTTGTTAAGAAAGTATGTTCTAATAATAAGCACAAACTAAATGATCACTCTTGCTGTAACTATTGCTGTATTAATAGTGAAAACCACAAGGAACTAAGCATCAGCTGATTAGACTACAAAAATATAATGGTTTTGATTTCCTAGTTGAAATGTCTTTTAAATTCTAGAGATTACTATGTTTAAAGGTGAATAGCTAAAGCAAGTTAATAGATCAAATAACTCAATTAAAAATAGATTTTTATGATTTATTTTAATTGAGTAATTATAAAATTTCTACTTTGAGTATGTATCTTCACATGCAATGGATGTGTGAAAAATAATTCTTTATTAAGATACCTCATTTTCTAATTTGGTAGATTTACATAAGATAATTTAGTATCTTCAGGATTTTGAAAGGAAGATATTAAGCAGGCCTATTAGTGCTATGTTATTCATTCCATGAATTTGACCCATCTGTCATACATTTGATAATAAGTAAATTAGAAAAATTACATGCTGAATGACAGTAAATTACTCAAAATGACATCAATACATTGACTATAAATTCTTCAATAACTGATTGGGTAAATAACTGATTGGGTTTTGTGAATTTAGGAGCTACTTATATTGGCATTGCTGTCCCTTAGAATTTGTAGGAAATAGTCTTTAGTTGTGAAGAAACACTGACATTAACTTTGTTATTCTAAAAATAATTTTATTATTATGAATAGTAAGATTCACATTGTGCTGGTCATTGCTCTAAGTCAAGTACCTACATCCTAGATATAGTAAGGCAGTAGCACAAAGGAAACACTCACACATATACTGCCACTCATAAACTACTATGCGTGCCACTATAAATGTGATCATTTGGTCCTATTACTTAACAGAAAGATCTAGAGAATCACAACTTTGCAATAAACCTACACAACCTGTTTCAATGCCATCTTGCTTCTGAGGTTTTCTACCTATTTTTATTTAAGGACATTTATCATCAGAATAATGAGAAATTACTAAATCTAGACTAATAGTAAGAAGTAATTTTCATAAAATATGGCACTGTTTGTCATAGCATTCCTCTGAAGTCAACATCATTACAAAGCAGATGGAAAAACTAGAGTATAAAGAATTAATTGTCTAATGACACATGCAGTCATTAGCTGAAGAAGAAAGGACTGTGATCACCCAGCTTACTGGTTCCCATGGCCAATAAAATAAGAAACAAGAAGCATTGAGTGCTTTCTCTTTTGACATATCGATTGCAAGTAATTAGAACTAATTAGCACTATTCTTCTACTTTCCAAGAACTTAAGACACTTTTGAAAGCCTTGTCATTTGGAATATTATTTAGTATTTGGTGCTATTTAAAGATATAACCTTTCAGACACTGCAGGACAAAATTTTCTGCTGCAAATTACTCTTTCTGTTCTTGCAGTTACCAATAAGCTAAAGATATGAGGGAAAATAATAGAATCAAATCAAAGTATCCCTTTCTAATATTTATCCAATGACCCTCTATCTTCCAGTGCACAGTTCTGGTAAAAGTCAGATTAGCATGCATGGTTTATGTCTCAAGCTTATTGCAAGTTTTTTTTTTTTATTTTCAAACAAACCCAAAAGGTAGTCCCAAATGATATGTTTGTCAGTGAAAGGACTTAAGGTGGTGAGTAGGGTACCAATCAGCTCACCTACCCTGCTACATTGAAAATAAGAGAAAAATATTAAGCCAACTAGACTTACCTAGATTCACATACCATATGGTAGATTAAGAAAAGCAAAAAGTACAAGAAAGGAGAAAAATCAGATGAGGATAAATTGCTCGTTTAAAATGGAGTGGGGAGCTTAGGCTATTTTAATAGTGACATGGAATATCAATAAATATGCAAATCCTACTGTATTAGGAATCTCTAAGACCACCCTTAGGCTCAATGAATTGTCTAAAATCATAGAATTTAAAAAAGCTGTTGTCGTTATGGTTATAGTTTATCAAATTTAAAGAATACACGTATTATTAATAAAGTGAGTGGTATATGGAGTAAAGTCCAGGAGAAATCAGGTGCAAGTTTTTGAGTGTCCTCTTCTAATGGCATCACACAGACAAGCCTCAGTTTTCCTGGCAGCTATATGTGACACATTGTATGAAGGAGTGTCAACCAGGTAAGCATTTTTGACTTTCATTTGAGCCTTGGTGTCCAGGGTGTGTGTTTTTCTTACGTGTGTGAGTAAGAAGATTTAGTCATCTAGGCATGCAGCACCTACATGACTCAGAATCTAGCCAGAGTCAGTTACCCAGAATCTAGCCACCCAGAGAAAAAAACAGATATTTATGGTAAAATACATTATTAGCATGATTTTTCTCATGAACATGATACCCCATGGCCCAAGCCTCAGGCATACAAAAACTCTCTACTCAGGCAGAATAACCCAAGGGCTCACATTTAATCTTCTAGGAGATAGTGAAGGGCCAGGTTGGAAGAAAGATCTTACTTATAGAATGTGCAGGGTTTGAGCAACCCAAGCCTGCTGATTTAACATTTTGTTGTACTGCTTCCCTAGAGAGAACTACATATACTTAAAAGACTAGGAATCTGTATTTATATCTATTTTATTGCCTTTCATCTCAATGAAAATTTCTAATGAAACCAAAGTTGAAAGATGTTTTAGACTTGAAAGACTATAAATACATCATGTTGCTATAAGAAGAGAGAGAGTGGGAGGGAGGGGGAGAGAGAGAGAGAGAGAGAGAGAGAGAGACAGACAGACAGACAGACAGACAGACAGACATGTCTTGGTACTAAGATAAACTCTACGTACACATACCAGCATGTAGCAGCTCCCCTCATGGCATGGTTGAAAAAAAAAGAACTCTCTTAATAAATATGAACCTTCTTAGTTGTCTTTAGGTTATTGAAGAAGAAAACAGGCAATTTGAAGAAAGCTATTTCTGAAATGTTATTTTTTACTATACCGAGAACTGACTAAATTGTAAAAAATGGTTTAATCAGATTCTGACTCAAATACCAGCTCCCACCCTCCTTGGTTGGGAAAGCAGAAAAAGATAGTTAGAAAGGACTTGATGTAGGTATCAAATTTTCTTCTTTAAAATTACTATCAGCTTATTCTATTTTGTCAAATTTCATTGTGGTAAAATACATATAACATTAAATTTACCATATTAACTATTTTTAAGTGTACATTTCCTTGGTATCAGGTACAATTGTACTGCTATGCAAACATTGCCACAGGTCATCCCTAGGCTTTTCATGTTGCTGAGTGAAACTCTATACCGGTTAAACAACAACCACCAATTCCCCCTTCATCCCAGCCCCTGGTAACCATTCTACTTGCTATCTGTCTAATTTGGATAATGAGGGACTGGTCTAAGTCCCTCAAACAAGTGGAATTGCACAATATCTCTTTTGTTGTGATTTATTTTACTTAGCATAATGTCCTTAAGAGTCATCCACATTGTAGCATACACCAGAATTTCTTTCCTTTTAAGGTTCTATTGTATATCTATATCACATTTTGCTATTCATTCATTCATCAATGAACACTTGGGTTGCTTCTGTATTTTAGCTTTGTGAATGAGGCTGCTTCTAACATGGATGTGTAGATACCTACCTCTTGAAGACCCTGTTTTTAATTATTTGGGGTATATTATATACCCAGAATGAAACTGCTAGATCATAGGGCAATTCCATTTATAATCTTTTGATGAACTGCCGTACTGTTTTTCACAGTAGCTGTAACTTTTGCTTGCACTCACAGTGCACAAGGGTTCCAATTTCTCTGTGTCATCATTAACACTAGCTATTTTATTTTTTTGATAGTAGCCATCTTAATGAATGTGAGATTGATTCTCAGTGTTGTTGCTATTTGTATTTCTGTAATGATTATTGATGTTGAATATTTTTTCATATACCCTTTGGTCATTTGTATAGTCTTCTTTAGAGAAATACCTATTTAGTTTCTTTGCTCATTTTTTATTTGTTTTGTTGTTGTTGAGTTTTAGGAGTTCTCTGTATTTTTGGATATCAATTCCTTATATTATTTATGTTTTATAATATATGGTTTGCAAATATTTCTAATATTTTGAGGGGTGCTTTTTTTACTCTATTGATAGAAAGTTTTTGCACAATTTTTTTAATTTTTATGAATCCTAATTTATTTTTCCTACTGTTACCTGTGCTTTTAGTGTCAAATCCAAGAAATTTCCAAATCCAATGTTTTAAAGTATTTTCCCTATGTTTTCTTCTAAGAGTTTTTATAAAATCATTTTCATTTCTTTAGAATTGATAATAATGTCATTGCATTTGTGATTTGAGTAATTTGTCTTTTCACTTTTTTATTAGTCTATTTAGCTAAAAGTTTATTAATTTTATCTTTTCAAAAATCCAAGTTGTAGTTTCATTGATTTTCTCTACTGCTTTTCTATTGCCTGTTTCATTTATTTATGCTCTAATTTTATCATTTCCTCCCGTATGCTACTTTTGAGTTTAGTTTGTTCTTCCTTTTCTTATTCCTTAAGTTTTAAAGTTAGGTTGTTAGTTTGAGATCTTTATTGTTTTTTAGCATAAGCATTTATTGATCTGAACTTTCAACCTACAAACTGCTTTCTGATGACTCTTAAATTTGTGTGTATTGTTTTCCTTTTCATTTGTCTCTAGTTAATTTTTTAATTTCCTTTGTGATTTTTTCTAAGAGTGTACTGCTGAATTTCCACAAAGTTTTCCTTCTGTTACTGATTTTGAACTTCATCCTGTTGCTGAAACACTTTGTATAATACAAATCTTTTAAAACTTTTGGGAGTCTTAAATTGTGGCCTAATATATTGTGTATACTGGAAAATGTTCTGTGTACATTTGATAAATATATTCTGTTTTATTTATACATTATTTTCCTGACCTTTCCCAAGTCTTTCTTTAGCTCTTTGAACACTTTAAAGACGGTTGTCTTAAAGTTGTCTAACAGATCTTCCATCAGTTCTTTTCTTTTTTTTTTTTTATTATACTTTAAGTTCTGGGATACATGTGTGGAATGTGCAGTTTTGTTACATAGTTACACACGTGCCATGGTGGTTGTCTGCAGCCATCATCCCATCATCTACATTAGGGATTTCTCCTAATGCTATCCCTCCCCTAGCCCCCCACCCCCCGACAGGCCCAGTGTATGATGTTCCCCTCCTTGTGTCCATGTGTTCTCATTGTTCAAATCCCACTTATGAGTGAGAACATGCACTATTTGGTTTTCTGTTCTTGTGTTAGTTTGCTGAGAATGATGGTTTCCAGCTTCATCCATGTCCCTGCAATGGACATGAACTCATCCTTTTTTATGGCTGCATAGTATTCCATGGTGTATATGTGTCACATTTCCTTTATCCAGTATATCATTCATGGGCATTTGGGTTGGTTCCAAGTATTTGCTATTGTGAACAGTGCTGCAATAAACATGTGTGCATTTGTCTTTATAATAGAATGACTTATAATCCTTTGGGTATATACCCACTAATGGGATTGCTGGGTCAAATTTCTGGTTCTAGATCCTTGAGGAATTGCCACACTATCTTCCACAATGGTTGAACTAATTTACACTCCCACCAACACTGTAAAAGCGTTCCTATTTCTCCACATTCTCTCCAGCATCTGTTTTTTCCTTTCTTTTTAATGATTGCCATTCTAACTGGCATGAGATGATATCTCATTGTGGTTTTGATTTGCATTTCTCTAATGACCAGTGATGATGAGCTTTTTTTCATATGTTTGTTGGCCACATAGACAGATTCACAGCCGAATTCTACCAGAGGTACAAAGATGAGCTGGTACCATTCCTTTTAAAATTATTCCAAACAATAGAAAAATAGGGACTCCTCCCTAACTCATTTTACAGTGCCAGCATCATCTTGATAACAAAACTTGACAGAGTCATGACACAACAAAAAAAAAGAAAATTTCAGGCCAATAATTCTGATGAATATCGATGTGAAAATCCTCAATAAAATATTGGCAAACTGAATTCAGCAGCACATCAAAAAGCTTATCCACCATGCTCAAGTCAGCCACATTCCTGCGATGCAAGGCTGATTCTACATATTCAAATCAATAAACGTAATCCATCACATAAGCAGAACCAATGACGAAAACCACATGATTTTCTCAATAGATGCAGAAAAGGTCTTCAATAAAATTCAACACTCCTTTATGTTAAAAACTCTCAATAAACAAGGTAATTGATGGAACATAACTCAAAATAATAACTATTTATCACAAACCCATAGTCAGTATCACACAGAATGCGCCAAAGCTGGAAGCATTCCCTTTAAAACTGGCACAAGACAAGGATGACCTCTCTCACCACTCCTATTCAACATAGTATTGGAAGTCCTGGCCAGGGCAATCAGGTAAGAGAAAGAAATAAAGGGTATTCAAACAGGAAGAGAGAAAGTCAAATTGTCTCTGTTTGCAGATGACATGATTGCATATTTAAAAAACCCCATTGTCTCAACCTAAAATATCCTTAAGCTGATAAGCAACTTCAGCGAAGTCTCAGGATACAAAATCAATGTGCAAAAATCGCAAGCATTCCTATACATCAATAATAGACAAACAGAGAGCCAAATCATGAGTGAACTCCCATTCACAATTGCTACAAAGAGAATAAAATACCTAGGAATACAACTTACAAGGGATGTGAAGGACCTCTTCAGGGAGAACCACAAACCACTGCTCAAGGAAATAAGAGAGGACACAAACAAGCGGAAAAATATTCCATGCTCATGGATAGGAAGAATAAATATCGTGAAAACAGCCATACTGCCCAAAATAATTTATAGATTCAATGCTATCCCCATCAAGCTACCAATGACTTTCTTCACAGAATTGGAAAAAACTACTTTGAGTTTCATATGGAATCAAAAAAGAGCCCATATAGCCAAGAGAATCCTAAGCAAAAAGCAAAAACAAAAACAAAGCTGGAGGCATCACGCTTCCTGACTTCAAACTATACTACAAGGCTACAGTAATCAAAACAGCATGGTACTTGTACCAAAACAGATATATAGACCAATGGAACAGAACAGAGGGCTCAGAAGTAATGCCACACATCTACAACCATCTGATCTTTGACAAAAACAAGCAAAGAGGAAAGGATTCCTTACTTAATAAATGGTGTTGTGAAAACTGGCTAGCCATATGCAGAAAACTGAAACTGGACCCTTTCCTTACACCTTACACAAAAATTAACTCAAGATGGATTAAAGACTTAAACGTAAGACCTAAAACCATAAAAACCCTACAAGAAACCCTAGGCAATACCATTCAGGACATAGGCATGGGCAAAGACTTCATGACTAAAACACCAAAAACAATGGCAACAAAAGTCAAAATTGACAAATGGGATCTAATTAAATAAAAAGCTTCTGCACAGCAAAAGAAAATATCATCAGAGTGAACAGGCAACCTACAGAATAGGAGAAAATTTTGCAATCTAACCATCTGACAAAGGGCTAATATCCAGAATCTACAAAGAACTTAAACAAATTTACAAGAAAAAAAACAAACAACCCCATCAAAAAGTGGGCAAACGATATGAACAGACACTATCAGGTCTTTTTATGAAAAATTTCTGTTGGTTTATTCATTTCCTTTAAATGAGCAATATATTCCTTTCTTTGTGTGCCTAATGCCTTGTTAAATTTTGGTTGAAAAATGTACGTTTGAATGCAGTAGTGTGGTAACTCTAGAAATCAGATAATTCCCCTTCCCGGATATTGCTAATTGCTAGTTTTATATGTGTGTAGGTGTGTAAAAAACATACTTTATTATATATCTCTCACCTATTATATATTTACTTTTATCATTACATCAGTATTATGTATTATTATTTATTCTATTAAATATATAATTGTTGTAGGCTGTCTCTGTGTCCAAAATCATCCTGAGGTTCTGAGGTTTAAACTTCAAGTCTTCTTAGGTCTTTTATAAGTCTGCTCCTTTCCTGGGCAGTGTGGTGACTTTCTAATTTCCTTGATATATGTGATTGCTTTTGAATTTCATACTTGTAATGTCTGGCTCTGAGAAGGGAAAAACATCAACAACAAAATGCAGTGAGATAAACAGTAACTGGTTCTTTAAATGCCCTAGAGTTGGCTTCAGATAGAGGAGTGAACTTACAATAGCAAGCTGCCTCTGTGTCCGCAGCTTAAAAGCAGCAATCTGCTGTGATCAGAACACATAAAATTGCTGACATGTGGAGAACAGGGTCCTTATCCTCTTGGTTGCCCCAACCTCCTGCAAGGTCAAGATCGCCTGTCATGAGACTGGGGAGGGTCGGGGGCAGGAAATATGTATCTGCTGCCAAATTTAGAGCTAAATTAACTAAAAATTAATTGCAATTTATGTCCAAGCCTTCCCCTGGACATTGTAAGCTTCCAATAGAGTCCAGAGTTCCAAAATAGTTAAATCAAATAGATCAGATCTTTCCAGTGAAATTGTCTAGGTGGAGAAAGTATTTCTGTTACTTCCTACTCTGCAATGTTCCCGGTATCCTGTATCCAATTATTTTTTGAGGCTTCTCACTTCTTACAGATTTGACTCTTCCTGTTACATGGTATTTGTTTCTTAGCATGGTAACACCTTTT
Source organism: Homo sapiens (assembly GCF_000001405.40). NCBI lineage: Eukaryota > Metazoa > Chordata > Mammalia > Primates > Hominidae > Homo > Homo sapiens. The sequence goes on along the minus strand of NC_000013.11, from coordinate 84,473,430 downwards.
AAAAATGACAAATGTATATGAAGAAGATTCCATTTCACAGTTAATTTTTCTTTTTTTATATTTATAACTATATTTTTAAAAATTATCTTAAGATGGTAGAGAGACTGCTATGCCATTTGAAGTTATTGAAGATAAACATATTAGAGCGACAAACAGTGACATACCGCAGTGAAGTTGCCATACAGAAAGTCAAAAGCCAAAATTAATAGACACTGAGAAAAGATAGTTATAACCAGCTTTAGATATATTGAAAAAAAGAAGAGACCAAAATCAAACAGCTGAGAACAGAGTTTTTGCTCTTGCTTTTGAAAACGCTATCCTCTTCACACAAACATTCAATTAACAGCATGCTGACAGCAGTTGAGGGGTATCTAAGTCTGAAAATAGAAACTGGAATTGTACATGTTCAGTTTAATCCTTCGGAGTTTAAAAAAAATCAAAGATAATATAGTTAACAGAAAAATTAAAAATGCAAACAGGGTTCACTCTCTTAAATTGAATTATTTTCAAGTAATTTTCCTCCTTCAGGATTTTTTAAAATTAGACTTTATTTTTTACATCACCTTTGAGTTCAAAGCAAAACTGAGTGACAGGTACAGAGATACCCATATACCCACTGCCTCCACACATGTACAGCCTCACCCAATATAGACATCTCTCATAGAGGGGTACATTTGTTACAACTAATGAATGTACCTGGACACATCATCAGCCAAAATCCATAGTTTGCATTGGAGTTCAGTCTTCGTGTTGAACAGTTTATGGGTTTGGATAAATATATAATAGCATGTTTTCACCCTTATAGTATCATACAGATTATTTTCATTGCCCTATAAATCCTCTGTGCTCTGCCTATTTATTCATCCTCTTCCAAAACCCTTTGTACCACTAGTCTTTTTACAGTCTCACTAGTTTTGCCTTTTTTTGGAATGTCACGTAGGTGGAATCATACAGTATGTAACCTTTTCCGGTTGGCTTCTTTCACTTAGTAACATCTATTTAAGTTTTCTCTATTTCTTTTCATGGCTTCATAGCTCATTTCTGTTGAGTGCTGAACAATATTTCATTGTCTGGATGTACCACAGTTTATTTATCTATTTACCTCCTGAAAGACACCTTGGTTGCTGCCAAGTTTGGGCAATTTTGAATAAAGCTGCTATAAACATCTGTGTGCAAGTGTTCTTAAGGACACAGGTTTTCAAGTCATTTGGGTAAAACACCAAGTATGATTGCTGGATCATATGGTAGGAATTTGCTTAGTTTTGTAAGAAACTGTCAAACTGTCTTCCGAATGGCTATATCGTTTTACATTTCCACCAGCAATGAATGAGAGTTCCTGTTGTTCTGCATCCTCGTCGGCATTTAGTGTTGTCAGTGTTCTCTATTTTGGCCATTGTAATAGGTGTGTAGTTGTATCTCATTGTTATTTTCTTTAGGACTTTTTAATGAACCTTAATGGTCATTTTCACATATAAAAAAGAAAGAAATAATGTGTTTTAAGAGAAAAGAAGATGTCAATTATTCCATGACAAATGGTAAACATAATTAACACTTACTTGTCCTCAAGCATAGAGACAATACTCAATAGGTAAAATTATACATTTTATCTCAAAGTTGAATTGTCGTTTTTAATGTACCTTAAGAGTCATTTTCACATATAAAGAAGAATTATAAAGATAATTTAATTGAAAAGGCATAACATGGAATTTTAAACAAGAATCCTTCTATTGTCACGTATATGGCATTACCTTTTAATTAAAATTTTTATATACATTCTCGTAGTGGATCATTTGAACTACAGGAAACATAAATTTTAGAAACTGATAGAACTATGTTAAAATCTTACTTCTGTCACTTATGTGTGTAGCACTGGGCAATTACTTAGGTTCTAAGCTTCTATCCTGTTTACTTAGGTTCTATCTTATTTTCTTAGGTTCTAAGCTTCTATCCTATTTCTGATAACCGGGATAAAAGAATATTCAAGGTTGCTAAAAGGATGAGAAAAGATAATCTATAAAAAGTTTTTATTGAAGTACAAATCTATTTAAGTTTTCTCTATTTTCTTTAGAAATTTATTTTCTAAAAATAAATTTTACAAACTGATAGAACTATGTTAAAATCTTATTTCTATCACTTATGTGTGTGGCATTGGGCCATTACTTAGTTTCTAAGCTTCTATCCTATTTCTGATAAATGGGCTAAAATAATATTCAAGATTGATAAAAATATGGGAAGAGATAATCTATATAAAGTTTTTATTGAAGTACCCAGCTTATAGGAAGTCCTTAAAAATGGTAAATGAGATAGAACACATTTACTGAACATTTTTAAACCTTATTCTAAGTGTCTTACAGATATTAACTAAATTATCACCAAAGTCTAGAGTTTCTGACACTTCACTTCTTTCTGAATGTACATTTAGTAAAAAAAAATCATCAATTCCTACATCCACATGAGTTTCACATATTTCAGCCATCTACTCAATCATTTAATTACAACTTAGCAAAGAGGTAGTTACAGGTTCTGGAGCTAGGTTGCCTCATTTCACATTCCAGGAATTCTGCTTATTCAATGAAGAAGCTCAAGTAACTTACTTAACTTCTTCTCATCTCACAAATTATATGTAATAGAGTAATGAGTTAATATAGTCACAGTTCCTGTATGACTTTAACTATATTAATTAATTAGTTAATTAGTTAATCAATTAGTTAATTAATTAATTAATTGACTAATTAATTAAATATATTAATGAGTTAATATAGTCACAGAGGCATTGTAGGTGCTCACTAAATGGCTTTGACTTATATAATTATTATTCCCTATAGATACTGGGACATGAGTCTCATGATATGATATGATAGCTAATGAACATAAGGCTGCCCAATCTGGTAGGGCAAGATATGTACATTGCCAATGATAGCATAGGTTGTTATGAAAAAGAATGTATGGCATATATGAGATATACAAGTAAGATAATGGGCCATTCCATTGAAGGGGCCTGGGTTTGGACTTAGAATATCAGAAACATTTAGAGGGAAAGTGGCAAGAAATAATAAATGGAAAAAAAAGGAAATAGGGTTAAAACATAAAAATTTGCAGTGCTTTACAGAATCTGAGGTTACTGGAAAACTTCCTGTAGTGGAAAATAGCACAATGCAATGAATACTTGGCAAGAGTTTAATCTATGGACACAGGGAAGATCTAGGTAAGTCTATATAGGTCATTAAAGTGTTTTTAAATAGGATAACTGTATAATCAATAATTATATTTTCAAAAATTTCAATATTTAGTGTAGATGAGACATTTCTAGAGAGGTAAATAGACGAAGACTAAGAATAGAGGCAGGAAAAAATCTGAGTAAGAATTAAATACGTTCCTAGTGAAAGTGCTAATAAAAGGAATAGAAAATGTTTAAAAATGGTGTGAAGGTAAAATCAAAAGTACTTTGTCAATAATTGATATTTATGTTGTATTGAAGAGATGTTTTCTAATATGGAGACAAAATTTCTTTTCATTTTTTATCAGCTGTACTGAGATATGATTGACAAATAAAGGTTGTGTACATTTAGGATGTACAACACGTTTTGTTATACTAACAGACTGTGATATACTAATACACTGTGAAATGATTATGTCAATCAAAGTAATTAACATATTCAGCACCTCACATAGTTATTATTCTGTGTATGTTGTGTGATGAAAACACTACACACACTTAGCAAATTGCAAGTGTATAACACATTATTATTAACTTTAGACACAATGCTGCACATTAGATCTTCAGTACTCATCCATCTTATGAGTGAATGTTTGTATCTTTTGACCAATATCTCTCCTTTTCTCTGAACCCTCCTATCCCTTGGTAACCATCATTCTACTCTCTAACTTTGAGGGGTTTTGTTTCCTTTTTTTTATTCTAAATATAAGTAAGATCATTCAGTATTTGACTTTCTGTGTCTGGTATTTTTCAATTGGCATAATTGTCCTCCAGTTTCATCCATGTTGTTGCAAAAGCCAGCATTGTCTTCTTTCTTATGGCTGTATAATATTTGATTATATATGTAACACATATATATATATAACGTATGGTTATATATATATTATATATATATATACATCTCACATTTTCTTTATTCATTCATCCATTGGCACTTAGGTTGTTTTCATATCTTGACTCTTACGAATAATATCACAATAAACAAAGAGCACAAATATCTCTTTAAGATAGTGATTTTATTTCCTTTGCATATATACCAGAAGTGGGATTGATGAATCATATGTTAGTTTTCTTTTTGATTTTTGATACAATCTCTGTACAGTTTCTGTAATGGCTGTACAAATTTACATTCCCATCAATAGTGTACACAATTTTCCTTTTCTCCACATTCTTTCTAACACTTGTTATAGTTTGACTTTTTGATAAAACTCATGCTAATAGGTATGTCATTTTATTGTGCCTTATATTTACATTTTCCTGATAATTAGTGATGTTGAGCCTATTTTCATGTACCTGTTAGCCATTTGTATGGCTTCTTTTGAGAAATGTCTATACAGGCCCTCAGACTGTTTTTTTATTATGTAATTTTGTTATCATTAATTTTTTGCTATTGTGCTCTTTGAATTTCTTAAATATTTTGATATTAAACTCATCAAATACATGGCTTGCATACAAACGTATACAAATATTTTCTCCCATTTTGTAGGTTGCCTTTCATTTTGTCGATTATTTCTTTTGCTGTGCAGAAAGCTTTTAGTTTGATATAATTCCACTTGTTCATTTACACTTGTCTATGCTTTTGATGTCAAATTTAAAAAAAATCATTGCCAGAAACTGATGCCAATGATCTTTTCCTTTATGTTTTCTTCTATGAGTTTTAGAATTTCAGATTCTATGCCTTTAATCTATTTGGAATTGGTTTTAAATGATTTTGAGTTGATGTTTTTATGCAGTGCAACATAAAAGTCCAACTTCTTTATTTTAATGTGGATATTCAGTTTTTCCACACCGTTTGTTGAAGAGACTTTCATTTTTCCAGTGCATCATCTTGGCACCTTACTATATATGTGTAGATTAATTTCTGAGATTTGTATTTTGACCCACTGATCTGTTTTTAAGCCAGTAACATACTGTTTTGATTACTGTAGCTTCTTAATATAATTTGAAATCAGGAAGCATGATGCCTCCAGCTTTGTTTTTCTTAATATTAATTTGGTTATTTGGGGCCTTTTGTGATTCCATACAATTTTTTAATTTTTAAAACTATTGTTTTAATATTTATTTATTTATTTGAGTCAGAGTCTCATTATATCACCCAAGCTATTACACAGTGGTGTGATCTTAGCTCACTGCCATCTCTGCCTCCAGGTTCAAGCAATTCTCCTGCCTCAGCCTCCTGAGTAGTTGGCTAATTTTTGTATTTTTAGTAGAGATGGGGTTTTGCCATGTTGGCCAGGCTGGTCTTGAACTCCTGAGCTCAAGTGATCCACCCTCCTTGGCCTCCCAAAGTGTTAGGATTTACAGGCATGAGCCGCCCTGCCCAGTCAATTCCATACGAATTTTAAGGTTGTTTTTCAACTTCTGTAAAAATATTATTGAGATTTTGATAGGGATTGCATTGAATCCTTAGATGTATGTACAAACATTTTAACTATGTTAAATATTCCAAATCATGGACTCAGGATATCTTTGCATTTATATGCCTTCTTCAAATTCTTTTATAAATGTTTTATAGTTTTCAGTGTACAAATATTTTACCTCTTTGGTTAAATTTATTCCTTACTCTTTTATTCTTTTCGATGCTATTGTAAATGGGTATATTTTCCTAATTGTTTCTTCAGATAGTGTATTGTTAGTGTATGGAAACACAACAGATTTGTGTTGCTAATTTTGTGTTTTGCAACTTACCAAATGCATTTATTAGTTTTAAGAGTTCCTTGTTGATATTTTTAGCGTTTTCTTTGTATAAGATTATGTCATATACAAAGAGAAAGAGACTTTTACATCTTTATTTCCAATTTGGATGACTTTTGTCTCTTTTTCTTGCCTAATTACTCTGGCTGGGATTTCCAATACTATGCTGAATAGAAATGGTGAGAGCGAGCACTCTTTTCTTGCTCCTGATCTTAGAGAAAAAGCTTTTAACTTTTCACCATTGAGTGTGATATTAGCCATGGGCTTGTAATCTATGGGTTTTAATATGTTGAGTTGCATTTCTGCTATACCTAATATACTGAGAGTTTTTATCATGAAAGCTTGTTGAATTTTGTCAAATGTTTTTGCTGAATCCATGGAGAAGATTTATGTCTTTTTCATCTTTCATCATGTTTATGTGGTGGATCACATCTATTGATTTGTGAATGTTGAACCATCCTTGTATCTTACTGATAAATTTCACTTGATCATTGTGTATAATCCTTTAAATGTGCTGTTGAATTTGATTTTGTAGTATTTTGTTGAGGGCATTTGTACCTATGTTGATTAGGGATAGTGAACTATTATCTTCATTTCTTATATTGTCCTTGTCTGGATTTGTTTTCAGGGTGGTGCTGTCCCCTAAAATGAATTTGCAAATGTTCCTTCTTCTTCAATTTTTTTGAAATAGTTTGAGAAAATTTGGTATTAATTTATCTTTCAACATTTGGTAGAATTCATCAGTGAAGCCATCTGTTCTTGATTTTTTCTATGTTGAAGGTATTTGGTTACTGATTCAATCCCTTTACTTTTTATAGGTCTGGTGTTGATTGGTGAAAGCAGGTTTAACACATACCACTTGAGTGATTTAGAAGAAGTGGGCTAGAGGATAAAAATGTTTGTGCCCTGTACATACATGTGTGAAAGTAACTAGTTCCAGTTGACTATATGCCTATAGCTCAAGGGAGCAGCCTGGACTGGAAACACAGTTTTGTGTCTTCTATAAATATAAAAGCCATTAAAAAGAATGCAGTCTTCTTGGGAAAAGATGAGTAGGGAGGAAAGGTAATTTAAAATAATTATGTGGTGTTATGATACTACTAAAATACTATTGAATGTTCATCAAACCTAAATGTTCTCATTGAAATATTACCTGTCTTGTATTTTTAGATTGTGCTTTTCTTAAATTCAGTGGATTATAAATATTCATTTCTTTAGAAAAATAAATGTGATCCATTCTTTAAATATGCAATGCCATTGATATTTAACATATTTGTTTTAAAGATAAACTTTCACAGAAAGTGTTTTTAAATTCTTTGTATAACATTACCTTGAAAATGGGATATATTTTCCCAATGTAATTTCCAAGTACATTTTTAAACACTTACATGTATCTGAAAAACAAGTGTGACACAACTGTCTCAATAATCTTGACTTGGACCTAAATAGAGAGTCAGTTATTGGAATTTTAAAAATGCATTAAAATTTGGGGGACAGTTTAGATAATCTAGAAATAAGATCAATAAAAAGTCATGAATAGCATCTATTTTCTTTCCTTTTTAAATTTGGCATAAATAAAAGATGTTGAGGTTGGGTCCCTTTTCCCTACACAGAGTAGTGAACTATTTCAAGAACATTTTCATAACTTAGTCGTATTTCTCTTGCATTCATATTCACAATTGTTGGGGCATTGACAATCTTTAGTTATATAGCAGTAGAGTTAACAATTTCCAGATCCTGAAGGTATATCTGCTTTAAACTAAAAATGCCACATGATACAGACATTATTTCTAAATCCGAACAAGCATTTTAAATGGTCATCAATACCCCATTAACTTAATGATGATAGTTTTCCTCATTACCTATCATTTGTGAAGTACCTACTGATTACCAAGCACTGTACCATGTGTGTACAATTCTTACAACAGTTTTATCAGATTTGTTTTCCACATACACACTACACATATGAAGTATTAAGAAGTAAAACCAAGTTGCTTAGGGTTTCCATTCAGTAAGAACCAGACCAAAATACAAGCCTTTTCTCTAAGTCCAAACTATGACCGTTATATTTTGTATATAAATCAAATGCAACCTTTTTAAAATAAATCTGCTATCTCTCAGTGGTCTAAATAAAAGACACAACTACCCACCCCATTATTATCAATCAGAAATATGAGATACCTGACACCTGCTTTTTCTGTACTCTCAGATGCACTTTATGGACAAATCTTGATCTTTTACCTTCTTAACCACTCTAGAGTTTTTTCCTTCCTTTTCAAATTTAGTGTTTTAGGGCTAGATCATGATCCGTGTCTTGCTTAATATTTTTACTATGACCTTCTCATTGCTTTCTTTCCTTCCATAGGACCCTGCTTCACTCCATCCTCCATGCTTACCTTAAGATAATGTTTATGAAAAACGAATACACTTTATATCTCATAATCACATTAGTCCCTTATTTTACAGAGGTTAAAGTCCAAGCATTTTAACATGGCATTCAAATGCCTCCATTTTTGGTACCAGTACATCACTCTAGCCCATTTCTTGACACCTAAACCTGCACGATACAGTTTGAGAGACAACGTGGCTCAAAATACAGTTTCATGATATCATTTTGAAATATTTGTTCATCCTTCATCATCCACCCAGGGTATTATTTCTCACCCTTCCTATTAGCACACGTCTACTTAATTTCAGCATTCAGCTCAAATGTTCTATTTGCTATGAAAATTTTCTTGCCTCATCTTTGGCTTCAAGAGAAAGTAGCCATTCACTTTTATTTGTCTTCTAAACTCTAAAACTTTTATAGACTATTTAGGTACTATCTGTCCTGGCAAAATTAATTGTACATTTCTTGGAAAGATGATTCATTTTCTCCTGACCATCCAGCATAAGATTTGGATATTGGTAGCCATCAATCAAATGTTCTTTAGTGAATGAATGAAGATGTGTTCATTTCTGGCCAACCTCCTTTTAGTTATTCTTGCTGTGGTATAATTTATTGGCTTTATCTCTATTTTTTAGGAAAGTTTGCACCCAAAATCTTTATTGGAAAATTATTGTTAGGAGCTCAGAAGAAACATAAAGATGAATGCATGTACTATCCTTTCTTTAATAATATTATAATAAAGTTAGGGTTCAGATATATTCATAAAACCATAAAAAAGCTGGTATAGTAGATAAATATAATTATCATTAATAAAAATGATAAATGTAGATTGTGTGGTAGGAGACAGATGGAAGTTGTATTAGGCAGAGTTCTCTAGAGAAATGAAACCAGTAGGAGATATAGATAGGTACATAGATGGATAGATAAGATATACATATATAGATTAATTATGAGAATTAGCTCATATAATTATCGAGGCCAAAAATTCCATAATATGCCACCTGCATAATATGCAAGCTAGAGAACCAAGAAAGCCAGCGGTGTAGGTGTAATTCAATGAAGTCTGAATTTCTGAAAATCAGGGGAGCTGATAGTGTTACTCACTGTTCAAGGCCAAAGGTCCAAGAATTAAGAGGCTGCTGGTAGATGTACTGAAGTTAAAAGGAGAACCACAGGCCGGGTGCGGTGGCTCATGCCTGTAATCCCAGCACTTTGGGAGGCCGAGGTGGGCGGATCATGAGGTCAGGAGATGGAGACCATCCTCGCTAACATGGCGAAACCCCGTCTCTACTAAAAATACAAAAAATTAGCCGGGCGTGGTGGCGGGCGCCTGTAGTCCCAGCTACTCAGGAGGCTGAGGCAGGAGAATGGCGTGAACCAGGCAGGCGGACTTTGCAGTGAGCCGAGATCGCGCCACTGCACTCCAGCCTTGGTGAAAGAGCGAGACTCCGTCTCAAAAAAAAAAAAAAAAAAAAAAAAGAAAAGGAGAACCACAGTTCAGAGAACCAGGAGCTCTGATGTCTAATGGTAGCAGAAGATGGATGTCCCAGCTCAGAAAGAGAGACATAAAGTTTGGCTTTCCCTTTTCTTTTTGTTTTCTTTTTGTTCTATCTGGATGAGCCCTCAATAGATTGAGGGATACTCACTCACGTTGGCTTGAGTTGATCATCTTTACTTTATCTACTAAATAAAATGCTAGTCTCGTCCATAAACACATTCACAGACACACCAAGAACTAATGCTTTACCAGCTATCTGGGAATCCCTCAACTCTGTCAAGTGAAGTGAAGGTAGATTTAAGATGTTACTATACACATTATGTTGAAAAACAAATAGGCTAGATGGAAATGTAAGAATAATAGTGAGCCAGGCACGGTGGATCATGCCTCTAATCCCAGCACTTTGTGAGGCCGAGGTGGGTGGATCACTTGAGTTCAGGAGTTCAGCACCAGCCTGGCCATAAATATGGTAAAGCCCCATCTCTACTAAAAATACACACACAAAAAAATTAGCCAGGCATGGTGGTGCATGCCTTAATTCCAGCTACTTGAGAGGGTGAGGTAGGAGAATCACTTGAACCCAGGAGGCGGAGGTTTCAGTGAGTCAAGATCAGGCCTCTGCACTCCAGCCTGGGTGACAGAGCTAGACTCCATTTAAAAAGAAGGAGAAGGAGAAGGAGACTGATCAAGGGACATGGAAAAAAATCAGAATCTGGTAGGAAAAATAGGTTTGGGAATGAGAACATTTTGGTAAGACTGTATGGAGTTCAGTGCAGTTAAATGTGAGATAAATTCAACAAGTTCTTAAGATTAATTATTGGAAAACCTTGCATCATAGGCTTAGGAGCTTGGACTTAATTTTGAACATGATATAAACAAACAATGATGTCGGAACAAAAAGAAAGAATGAATATTGCTGCTCTGGAATTAAATGATCTGATAGTAGTGAGTAAAGTATAACGAACAGAAAATAAGGAGGAAGTTTGGAAATCTGTTAGGAAATTATTGCTGTAGATGATTCGTGGATTACTAGGATTTAAGTGGCATGGTAGTGATAGAAATAAAATAAGTAGGACAATTGTAAAATTATTTGAATCAAATTGGTAAGTTTTGAATATACCTTGAATATGAAAATGGTTTTATGCTTACCCAACAATTAATTATTGATCACCAATAAGACAGAATATTAGCTTATAGAGAGATACATGTGAAGGTAATCATACTTATCAAAACAAAATATACAAGAAGAATAAAGATTGCAATGAAATCATATAGTGAGATTTTAATAGTTTGAATTGTAGTTGCAACAGAATGCTCACGTCAAATAAAAAATTAAAAAGTGAAGTAATCGATAATCAATTTAAAACATGCATATTAAACAGAACAACTTATAGGATTTTGACAAGAGGCACCATCTACCAATTTTCTTTAATTAAACAGAGATTATAGAAGACAATGTTTCTGAAGCTCTACCAAAGAAAACAAGATCAGTGGCAGTTAAGTTTCATAACATATATAATATGGTTTGGCTGTGTCCCCACCCAAACCTCATCTTGAATTTTAGCTCCCATAATCCCCATGTGTCATGGGAGAGACCCAGTGGGAGGTAATTAAATCATGGGGGCAGATTTTTCCCATGCTGTTCTCATGATAGTGAATAAGTCTCACAGGATCTGATGGTTTTATAAAGGCACTTCCCCTGCACACACTCTCTTGCCTGCAGCCATGTTAGATATGCCTTTGCTCCTCCCTTACTTTCCACCATGATTGTGAGGCCTCCCCAGCCATGTGGAACTGAGGGTCCATTAAGCGTCCTTTTCTTTATAAATTACCCAGTCTCTGGAATGTCTTCATAGCAGTATGAAAATAGACTAATACAATATACTTCTCATAATATTTATTGCTGATTTTAAAGCAATTTTTTTTTTTGAGACAGAGTTTCACTCTTGTTGCCCAGGCTGGAGTGCAATAGTATGATCTTGGCTCACCACAACCTCCACCTCCCAGGTTCAAGCAATTCTCCTGCCTCAGCCTCCCGAGTAGCTGGGATTACAAGCATGGGCCACCACGCCGAGCTAATTTTTTGTATTTTTAGTAGAGACGGGGTTTCTCCATGTTGGTTAGTCTGGTCTCGAACTCCCAACCTCAGGTGATCCACCTGCCTCGGCCTCCCAAAGTGCTGGGATTACAGGCGTGAGCCACTGCACCTTGCCTAAAGCAAAATATTTTTTAAATGAATAAAAATGCTTATAAAAACCCTGAAACCTTTTGTCTAAGAATGCCATAATAATTAATTTAAGAATTAATAACTAAAAAGAGATTATGGCAAGCTGAAATACTGTGGCAGAAAGAGGTCTTTCATGATCTTTCTTCTGGAAGTATTGCAGGTTTTGAGTATTGCAGGTTCTGCCCCCTCCCCACCACAAACACTCACACCCACACCTTATATTACTGTTTTGGTTCCCCTTTTATTTGTGAACAAAGTCCTGATAATATCTATTACCTCTACTATGAACCAGACTGTCATACTGATTCTTTTGCTCTCAGTAAATAAAATATTCTATGTGTTTGCCTGTTTTCTGGTGATCTTATCTATGGACCTCTATAATAGAAAGTTGATACTGAAATGAAGGGCCAAAAGATGTATTCATTTCTGGTCCACTGGAGCCTGTAGGTGAAATACCCACACATGAGTTACATGTAGTAGCTGAAATTCCATGTGGAATTCAATATTTTTGACACATTAATTGATATAAATTTCTTATGGTTAATTCAGACAGGTAATGCTACAGCTGTCTATCCAATGAACTCAAACATTATTTCAATGAGAAAGCAACATAGACTAGAACAAAAATACTACACCTCTATTTTTTAACTTAAAGCATAGGACTCAAGTCCATTACAGACACAAACACCTAGAATTCAAAGCTTTTCTGATTTTCAAAGCTAAGCTTTAGGGAAAAAAATGTGCAGCTTTAAAAACTTGATGCTGAAATATCAAGGGCAAGTAAATGCTGAATTAAGTGGACATCGTACTGACTACCACACCGTGAGTAGAGAGATTTTGAATGGTGCACATAGTAACAATTTTAATGTGTTACAAGGAGGAGAAGGGTGGAGAAGAGCATTTCCTAGACTGAAGGAGAGAATTTTGGAAGGCAGAGCATAATAAATTAAATGTTAGTTTGGAATCCACTTTCTACAGTCCCTTGGTTTGAAGTGGGAAGAAGTAGAAAGCTATAGAAAAAAGAATAAAATTACGAGAGAAGACAGGAGCTTTTTGCTGCATATATTTTCTTCACTTTTCATTGGAATTCCGGGAAGATAGTTTTGTGTGTGTGTGTTGTGTGTGTGTGTGTGTGTGTGTGTGTGTGTGTTGTGTGTGTATGTTTGTGAATATTGAGCAACCATAGTAGAATAGGAATTGTGGTTGTATGGCAAATTTGTATTAAGAGGGCTCAGAATTGTACTTGATCTTTACAACTCATTGAAGTCTGGGACAGGGATGCTTCTACTCTCATTTATATTATAAAACTTTAAAGCTAATTAACTTGAGTAAACATCAAGGAATACAACATAAACAAAAAAAATCAGAGAAATTTTGTTCTTTGAAAAATATAAGTCCTTAAGATATTTTACTTTTTAAGTCATATTATGAACTACAAGCCCAGAATAAAATGATTTTAAAAGTAGAAGCCTGAGAATACTGAAACAAAAGTAAAGCCAATCATCATGGTCTTTACTTCTGCTGGAGACAATCCAAATTCTCAGTTTCTATGCTCTGTAATATATTTAAGACCACTCTAGCACTGAAAGCGATTGTGTTTTCAAAGTCAGGTCTCTCTTGCTTCACAAGTTTAATAAATTCTGTTTTGCTTTAATATGCCTTACTATCTTGAGGTTTCTTTTATTAAAAACATCACCGACTCTCTCAGGCAAAGTCAGTCACACATTTCTGCAGACTGGCTACAACTTTTAAAAGCATGTGTTACAGTTACTATAGAGTAATATAGAGTAACAAGAACATAATTGCTATATTATGACTATAAATTACATTTTTGACATTTTATTTAACATAAGATATAAGATTATTCTGTATATATGTAAGGGTATCTAACATATTCCTAAGCATATCTAAGAAATTAATATTTGCTGAAATAAGCATGTTCTTATAAGCAAATATTGAAAGAGAAGAAAAAACAGTAACAATGAGAAGTGCCTCAATTTAGAGCAAAGATTATGAAAGCAAAACCAAATAAAAAATTTAGTGGTATTTTTACATATGCAGAGGAATACAAAAAGAATTTAATGTCATGAAAGGCTAGGAAGAAACAGTAATAAGAAACGTGGTCAACTATGCCAACATGTCTCCAGTGAAGTCAAATAGGATTAGGACCAAATGATTTGGAAAACAGTCTGTTGGTGGTAATGTTAAGGGATTATTTATTGCAGAGCTGTTTGAAAAGATAACAGGAACACAACTGAAAAATGAGTAGTGCTAGAAGAATAGATTAAGTCTAGAACATACATTAGTAGGAATGTGTCACAGAAGAAAATGAGAGTAATAAAAAAGCATAAGGAAATTTTTTCTAGTAAAAATATTAAGAAAATATTTTAATAAAGAGGAACATTAGTACAGAAGCCACTAGAACTCAGTTTAATTCAGGTAAGCAATCCTCCAAGCAAAATGACTAAATTTCCCAGCCTTTATTGTCATAGGTCTAAATTCTGGTCAATGTGGGAAAAGAGCAAAAGCGGTGCTTCAAGAATGTCTTCTTGAAAAGGCAGGGTCATGCTCCTCTCCTACCTCCTTCCTGATGATGAATGGAGGTTCTGTCACAAAGGACAAAGACTAATATAATAATAGGTTAGACAACAAGGAGTCCCTGCAAAATCTACTCCTTTGCTATTTACACATCCACATATTAATATAACCCTTTTCTGATTAACATAATCCACTTATAAGTTGAACAAAGGAAATAATTTGCCCTAAACTCCTTCAGATCAGATTCTGCTATGTAGTCATATAGTTCTCCCCATCAGAAATGGATGTGAGATCTGGTTCGACCAGAGAGCAGCAGGTAATAAACTAAAAAATAAATTACCTTTCATTATATAACTAACATATATAATTAGAAAAGAAAAATAATAATCATAATGAAAACTTTATTTGAAAATGAATAACTGGAAAATCTCAGCTGTCAGTGGATTAGCGATGGTAAGATTCTTCTGAGTAGGAGTATGCAAGAGAGTACTTAGACTGTCTAGCAGTCACTGATTAAGATCTCTGAGAAGGGCTTCCTATCTTTTGTCCTCCTTTTATATCTGAATTTGCCTTCCTGGACATTTTTTTTGACTGACCACTGTCTTGTGTGCTCACAAATGAGAAAGACTTTGGGAAGCATATAGTTCCTGAAGCTACAGCTGGGTGAAGACTAGAAATTTATTTGTGACTTGTCCAAATTCCATCTCAAGTTCCTCTGGCAATATAGTTACCTTGTTACCTCAAAAGCCCAACTGAATTCCTGACCATTAGCTTCCAGTCAATTCTATGTGAAAATTACAACCAAAGACTTCAAGATTGAATTCTCTTGTCTTTCACATGCTGTCTCAGTGCCCTGCTCACCTCTTCCATCTTCAAATGAATGGCGGCTCTCGTAAGGCCTGGGACTGAAGGCTACACATCCAATCTGATATAGTCTCAGTGCTAGATCCCATTGACTTTCAGAAAACATTTAATAGAAAGCAAACAGAAAACCAAAAGCAAAATAAAACCCTGTGATCACAGCCTTAACTTCTGTTTAGGTATACTTCTGCCGCAACTATTCCTTACTGCTTCAGTAATTTGAAGTGTATCTGCAATTGGCTTTTAAGCCCTAGAATAATCCAAATCATTTAACTTTTGGGTAATTTCAGTTGCAGGATTTAGGATTTCTTTTGCTGTGTACTTTTACATCTCTGCATAAGAATGAATATCATCTGGTCTATTTGAAATATCCTTTCTTTGGGATATTTCTGAAAACTGTGAGAAACAGCCTAAACATACCAATATTATCATTTTTCCATCAATTTCTCTAACAGTCTAAATATATAGTCTGTCTTTTACCTTACATCAAGAAACAATTTAAGCACCTATTTTGGCCACTGCATATTGTATATAAGTTATTATTTTAGCCACTGATATATCATCCTTTACCACTCATCTCCTGTTTACCTTTACCAAGCCAATGCATACATTTTTTTAAAAATGCTTTTTATTATTTATTTATTTACTTACTTATTTTTAGGCTTCCATTTTAATGTGCATACAGATCATCTGGGGATTCTGTTAAAATGCAAGTTCTGAACTGGAAGGTCTGGTATGGGTTCTGAGATTTAACATTTTTAATAAGCTCCCAGTCGATATCAGTCGAGGACCACACTTTAATTAGCAAGATTAGTGTACTGCACTACTTCTATCTATTAATTACTGTCTTTATCAGTATACCCAATTAAAAACAGCCAAATTTACTCTGGCTAGTTTAAATAGAAAGGCATTCACGGCTGAATCTCACTCCTGGGAAGATCTGGAGGGCTGAATCAATAGTGTGAGCTCCAAAAACAAATCCCCAAAACACATATTGGCCTTGGTCATAGGAAGAGTTGCTCCTTTGCCAACATCAGGCAGAATATTAGATTTGCCACCATAAACACTGCTTGCAAACCTTGAGCCTCTTCAAAAATCAAAAAGCTGCTACTATAGCTCCTGGCTTCTAAACATTGCTTCTGCCATAATCCAGCAAAATGGATTTTCCACTCTTTGCACCTCTTAGTGCATCTGATTGGCAGAACCTAAATGGCTCATCCTTCTAAATAGTGACAATCCTGGTTGCAAAGAAAGTATAAAATAGAATTTGTAGCTTTCTACATTATTCACACTAGGATGTTGACATGGGGGTGTGATAGATAATTCACAATATCCATCTATGACAGTCAAGTTTTCCAAGAGATAGATAATGTTCTACAACTGCTTTAATGGCTGAGGTAAGAAAAAAAAAGTGGGAAAATTTAAAGTAATTCTATATTTAGATATGAAATAAATTAATATAAATTTAAAAATAATTTAAAAGTAAAATTGAAATGTTTGTGAAAAATTGAAAAAAAGGGAAGATTAAAAAACAAAAAGAAAAATGAATTCTTTCAAAGACAGCATTTAAACCCAAAGGAGTTAATAGATTTCTTATCTAAATATACAAGGTTGAGTTTGGTGACCATGGTGGACGGGAGGCAAGACTAGATTGAAGCTCCAGACAGAGCAGCTTGCAGAAGCTCACACTGTGAATTTTAGCTCCAGATCAACTGCAAGAACAAACCAGCAATCCCAAGAGGACCCACAGACCATCTGAAAAAAGTGGATTGCTTCTGCAGGACCTGGGAGACACCCCAAACACTGTGAATGCCCCAAACGTGGAAGTGGGAAAGGGAGACCCTTCTCTCCGAACACACACCTCCACTGGAGAAGCTGAAGCAGAAGCTGAAGGCCTGTTTGCTGGAGAAGTTTCTGACTTTACCTGGAGCTGAGTCAATTTAGAGACCCCAGCAAAATATAGGGGTAGAGGTGGCAGCAGAAAGGCCACGGGAGCTCACTTTGTCCCCTGTCAGGCTATTACTGCCTGATACCACAGGGATCTATTGGGGGGGTGACCACAGGAACAGGGGGTAAAACTCCACAGGGGGAAGGACATCTCTAGCTGGACTTAGTAATAATTTGAATGGGGCCAGGAGCCTCCTGGCCAGAACTCAGGGGAAGGTGCAAATCTAGTGTGCAGACTACAGGCAAGGGAAGAACCAAGCCCTTTACTTTCGCAGCTGGAAGGAGGGTAGCCCAGGGCAAGTTTTCAAATCTGTCACGCCCTCCACCTGGAAACAGACTCAGGGCTGTTGCAGGCGGCCCAGTGGGAGTGAGACCGGCCCTTCAGTTTGTGTGGAAGCTGGGTGAGGCCTGTGACTGCTGACTTTGCCCCACTTCCCTGACAACCTGCATGACTCAGCAGAGGCAGCCATAATCCTCCTAGGTATACAACTCCAGCGACCTGGGAATCTCACCCCCATCACCTACACCAGCCACAGCAAGACCAGCCCAAGGAGAATCTGAGCTCAGAGGTGCCTAGCCCCGCTCCCACCTGATGTCCCTTCCCTAGTGGTGGAACACAAAGGGCATATAATTTTGGGAGTTCTAGGGTCCCACCCACTGCTAGTTCCTCTCTATATTACTACATCTTATGCTTTCTGGAAAGCACCACCTACTGGTAGGACACCAACCAGCACAAAAATAGAGCATTAAATCACCAAAGCTAAGAACCCTCACAGAGTCCATTGCAACCCCCCACCCCAACCTCCAACTGAACAGATGCAGGTATCCACGACTCAGAGACCCATAGATGGTTCACATCACAGCACTCTCTGCAGAAAACCCCCAGTACCAGTCCAGAGCTGGGTAGAATCTCTGGGTGGCTAGACCGAGAAGAGAGAGAACAATCACTGCAGTTAACCTCATAGGAAGCCACATCCATAGGAAAAGGGGGAGAGTACTACAGCCAGGGAACACCCCGTGGGACAAAAGAATCTGAACAACAGCCTTCAGCACTAGACCTTACCTCTGACAGAGCCTTCCCAAATGAGAAGGAACCAGAAAACCAATCCTGGTAATATGATAAAAGAAGGCTCTTCAACACCACCCAAAAATTACACTAGTTCACCAGCAATGGATCCAAACCAAGAAGAAATCCCTGATTTACCTTTAAAAAAAAATCAGGAGGATAGTTATTAAGCTAATCAGGGAGGGATCAGAGAAAGGCGAAGCCCAATGCAAGGAAATCCAAAAAATGATACAAGAAATGAAGGGAGAAATATTCAAAGAAATAAATAGCTTAAATAAAAATAATCAAAAATTCAGGAAACTTTGGATACACTTTTAGAAATGTGAAATGCTCTTGAAAATCTCAGCAATAGAATTGAACAAGTAAAAGAAAACAATTCAGAACTTGAAGACAAGGTCTTCCAATTAACCCAATCCAACAAAAACAAAGAAAAAAGAATAAGAAAATATGAACAAATTCTCCAAGAAGTCTGGGATTATGTTAAATGACCAAACTTAAGAATAATTGGTGTTCCTGAGGAAGAAGAGAATTCTAAAAGCTTGGAAAACATATTTGGGGGAATAATCAAAGAAAACTTCCCTGGCTTTGCTAGAGACCTAGACATCCAAATACAAGAAGCACAAAGAACACCTTGAAAATTTATCGCAAAAACATCTCCACCTAGGCACATTGTCATCAGGTTATCCAAAGTTAAGATGAAGGAAATAATCTTAAGAGCTGTGAGAGAGAAGCACCAGGTAACCTACAAAGGAAAATCTGTCAGGTTAACAGCAGATTTCTCAGCAGAAACCCTCCAGGCTAGAAGGGATTGGGGCCCTATCTTCAGCCTCCTCAAACAAAACAATTATCAGCCAAACTAACCATCATATATGAAGTTATGAAACTAACCATCATATATAAGGGAAAGATACAGTCATTTTCAGATAAACAAATGCTGAGAGAATTCACCATTACCAAGCCACCACTGCAAGAACTGCTAGAAGGAGCTCTAAATCTTGAAACAAATCCTGGAAACACATCAAAATAGAGCACCTTTAAAGCATAAATCACACAGAACCTATAAAACAAAAATACATGTTAAAAAGCAAAAACAAAAAACAAAGTAAACAGGCAACAAAAAGCACTACAAATGCAATGGTATCTCACATCTCAATACTAACATTGAATGTAAATGGCCTAAATGCTCCACCTAAAAGATACAGAACCACAGAATGGATACAAACTCATGAACCAACTATCTGCTGTCTTCAGAGGACTCACCTAACACATAAGGACTCACATAAACTTAAAGGGGTAGAACAAGGCATTTCATGAGAATGGACACCAAAAGTGAGTAGGGGTAGCTATTCTTGTATCAGACAAAACACATTTTAAAGTAATAACAGTTTAAAGAGGCAAAGAGGGACATTAGATAATGGTAACAGACCTTGTCAAACAGGAAAATATCACAATCCTAAACACACATGCACCTAACACTGGAGCTCCAAAATTTATTTAAAAAATTACTAATAGATCTGAAAAATGAGATAGACAGCAACACAATAATAGTGGGGGACTTCAGTACTCCACTGACAGCACTAGACAGATGATCAAGACAGCAAGTCAACAAAGAAACAATGGATTTAAACTATACCCTGGAACAAATGGACAGATATATACAGAACATTTTATCCAAAAACTGCAGAATACACATTCTATTCAACAATGCATGGAACTCTCTCCAAGATAGACCATATGATAGGCCCTAGAATGAGCCTCAATAAATTTAAGAAAATTGAAATTATATCAAGCAACCTCTCAGACCACAGTGGAATAAAACTGGAAATTAACTCTAAAAGGAAACTTCAGAACCATGCAAATACATGAAAATTAAATAACCTGATCCTGAGTGAGCATTGAGTCAAAACCGAAATCAAGATGGAAATTAAAAAATTCTTCAAACTGAATGACAATAATGACACAACCTATCAAATCCTCTGGAAACGCAAATGCGATGTTAACAGGAAAGTTCATAATGCTAAGCACCTACATCAAAAAGACTGAAAGAGCACAAACTGACATTGTAAGGTTGAACCTCAAGGAACTAGAGAAACAAGAACAAAGGAACTAGAGAAACAAGAACAAACCAAACCCAAACCCAGCAGAAGAAAGGAAATTACCAAGATAAGAGCAGAACTAAATGAAATTGAAACAAAAAAAGTATACAAAAGATAAATGAAACAAAAAGCTGGTTCTTTGAAAAGATAAATAAAATTGATAGGCCATTAGCAAGATTAACCAATAAAAGAAGAGAGAAAATCCAAATAACATTACCAAGAAACGAAACAGCAGATATTACAACTGACACCACTGAAGTACAAAAGATCATTCAAGGCTACTATGAACACCTTTATGAACATAAACTAGAAAACCTAGAAGAGATGGATAAATTTCTGGAAAAATACAACCCTCCTAGTTTAAATCAGGAAGAACTAGATACCCTGAACAGACCAAAAACAAGCAGTGAGATTAAAATGGTAATTTAAAAATTACCAACAAATAAGAGTCCAGGACCAGATGGATTCACAGCAGAATTCTACCAGACATTCAAAAAAGAATTGGTACCAATCCTTTTGACACTATTCCACAAGACAGAGAAAGAAGGAACCCTCCCTAATTCATTTTATGAAGCCAGCATCACCCTAATACCAAAACCAGGAAAGGACATAATCAAAAAAAGAAAATTACAGACTGATATCCTTCATGAACATAGATGCTAAAATCCTTAACAAAATACTAGCTAACTGAATCCAACAACATATTAAAAAGATTATCCACAATCATCAAGTGGGTTTCATACCAGGGATGCAGGGTTGGTTTAACATATGCAAGTCAATAAATGTGATACACCACATAAACAGAATTAAAAACAAAAATCACATGATCATCTCAATAGATGCAGAAAAAACATTCGACAAAATCCAGCATCCTTTTATGATTAAAACTCTCAGCAAAATTGGCATACAAGGGACATACCTTAGTGTGATAAAAGCCATCTATGTCAAACCCACAGCCAACATAATACTGAATGAAAAGCAGTTGAAAGCGTTCCTTCTGAGAACTGGAGCAAGACAAGGATGCCCACTCTCACCACTCCTCTTCAACATAGTCCTGGGAGTCCTAGCAAGAGCAATCAGACAAGAGAAAGAAATAAAGGGCATCCAAATTGGTAAAGAGGAAGTCAAACTGTCACTGTTTGCTGACGATATGATCATTTACCTTGAAAACCCTAAGGACTCCTCCAGAAAGCTCCTAGAACTGATAAAATATTCAACAAAGATTCCGGATATAAGATTAATGTACACAAATCAGTAGCTCTTCTATGCACCAATGGCAACCAAGCAGAGAATCAAATCAAGGACTCAACCCCTTTTACAATAGCTGCAAAAAAATTAAATATTTAGGAATACACATAAGGTCTTTCGATTCGAAAGACCTCTACAAGGAAAAGTACAAAACACTGCTGAAAAGAATCAGATGACACAAACAAATGGAAACACATCCCATGCTCATGGATGGGTAGAATCAATATTGTGAAAATGGCCAGACTGCCAAAAGCAATCTATAAATTTAATGCAATTTCCATGAAAATACCACCTCATTCTTCACAGAATTAGAAAAAAAATATTTTTAATTCACATGGAACCAAAAAAGAGTCCACATAGCCAAAGCAAGACTAAGCAAAAAGAGCAAATCTGGAGGCATCGCACTACCTGATTTCACACTATACTATAGGGCCATAGTCACCAAAACAGCATGGTACTGGTATAAAAATAGGCACATAGACCAATGGAACAGAATAGAGAACTCGGAAATAAACTCAAATACTTGCAGCCAACTGATCTTTGAAAAAGCAAACAAAAACATAAAGTGGGGAAAGATACCCTTTCCAACAAATGGTGCTGGGATAATTGGCTAGCCACATGTAGGAGAGTGAAACTGGATCCTCATCTCTCACCATATACAAAAATCAACTCAAGATGGATTAAAGACTTAAACCTAAGACCTGAAACTAAACAAATTCTAGACGATAACATTGGAAAAACCCTTCTAGACATTGGCACAGGCAAGGATTTCATGACCAAAAACCCAAAAGCAAATGCAAAAGAAACAAAGATAAATAGCTAGGACCTAATTAAACTAAAGAGCATTTGCATGGCAAAAGGAACAGCCAGCAGAGTAAAGAGACAACCCATAGAGTGGGAAAAAATCTTCACAATCTAACATCTGACAAAGGACTAATATTCAGAATCTACAATGAACTCAAACAAATCAGTAAGAAAAAAAAAATCAAACAACCCCATCAAAAAGTGGGCTAAGGACATGAATATACAATCCTCAAAAGAAGATATATAAATGGACAACAAACATATTGAAAAAAATGCTCAACATCACTAATGATCAGGGAAATGCAAATCAAAACCACATTGTGATACCACCTTACTCCTGCAAGAATGGCCATAATCAAAAAAACAAAGAACAATAGATGTTGGCATGGATGCAGTGAACAGGGAACACTTCTACACTGCTGGTGAGAACTAGAATAGCCACTATGGAAAACAGTGTAGAGGTTTCTTAAAGAACTAAAAGTAGAACTGCCGTTTGATCCAGAAATCTCACTACTGGGTATCTACCCAGAGGAAAAGAGGTCATTATTCAAAAAAGATACGTGCACACACGTGTTTATAGCAGCACAATTGACAATAGCAAAATCATAGAACCAGCCCAAATGCCTGTCAATCAATCAGTGGATAAAGAAACTGTGAGAGAGAGATATATATATGATGATATATATATATATATATATATATATATGATGGTGTATATATATATATGATGGTGTATATATATATGATGGTGTATATATATATGATGATATATATGAGATATATATACGATGGAATATATATAGATGATGGAATATATATATATGATGGAATATATATAGATGATGGAATATATACATATGATGGAATATATATATATGATGGAATATATATTTATGTATGAGATGGAATACTTTGCAGCTATAAAAAGGAATGAATTAACAGCATTTGCAGTGACCTGGATGAGACTGTAGACTATTATTCTAAGTGAAGTAACTAAAGAATGGAAAACCAAACATCATATGTTCTTACTGATATGAGGGAGCTAAGCTATGAGGACGCAAAGGCATAGGAATGATGTAATGGACAATGGACTTTGGGCACTTGGGGGGAAGAGTGGGAGGGGGGCGAGGGATAAGACTACAAATATGGTGCAGTGTACACTGCTCCAGGGAAGGGTGCACCAAAATCTCACAAATCACCACCAAAGGACTTACTTATGTAACCAAATACCACCTGTACCCCAATAACTTATGGAAAAATAAAAAATGAAAATAAATAAATAAATAATAATAAATATATAAACAAGGTTAAAGGATTTCCCCCATGACAGCATAGTTAGTTAAGTTTTTATAGCTACATATAACATTCAATTTCTAGGCTTATAATTTTTATAAGCTTGGTTTCAATAAATGATCTGGTTTCCAATCTTGTGAACTCTAAAAATATTAAACTGTTTTATTTTACATACCAGATATTAACAACCTACATTTGCATTGCCTTAATCAGGGAAGGGGAGATATAAATAGTTGTTTTATTACTGTTATTCTAGAGCATATGCCATTAGGATTTGGTACCCAAAAAGATTATACACGTAGAGCAGAAATATTCAACATTTTAGAAACCCTTATTTTCATTTTTATTTTACTTTTTTCTTTTTGCCTTTTATTTTACAAATACATATTACTTCATTTGATACAAGAGATATTGTTTCATTTGATATGAGATGTCACTGAAATTGAAAGCAATAAAATCCAACAAACTGTTAATTGCACTGATTTGCTATTGATTAACATATTTATCAAATTATATTGTTGATGAAAACCTGGACAGCAGTCTTGAGATTTAAACGTTTTGTAAATTTTCTTTATGTCATAGTCATATTTTATTTTTATAGAGCCAGCTGCATACTGTTTACTACCTAAGCTGAACACTTCAACTATTACGTTTCTGCATACTTTACTGATTGAAGTGAATATATTAGTAGTTAAATTTGCATATATACTGATTGCCCTGAATATTGTGCAAGTGTGTTGTTAACTACAAAAAAAAATTGTCTAAGTAGTTACTTTTATTAAGGAGATTTAAAGCAATAACAAAATTAACCTAGTTGTGAAGATCTGGTGAGATTCCTTGTTGCCATTTTCTTAATCTGCTACTTATATGAAAGATTGCTTTATTCTATCCTGGAGAGACATTATTGGTCACTTTAAAGATAAAACTGTTCCCCACCCCCATCCCCACCCCCCCGCAAGATGGTAGATTAGAGTCAATGTTTGCCTGCCTCTCCCACTTGGAAAGGCAAAAATAGTGTGTTAAGATTTATTCTGTGAACTCGGTTTTCCATGAAGCAACACAGGAACTTAACAGAAAAAGTCAAAGAAACCACAGGCCTTTTGAAAGAAGCAATGGGCTGCAGCCTACACTGTGGGCCATACAGAAAAGTGTGAGTCTCCAGGTCATGAGAGGGAGAGAGATGATGCTGTGACACACACTCCCACAGGGAGCTGGGCGATCTAGGCCACAGGTGAAGGTGTTAACCCTTCCAGGCTCTGGAGCTGATTTAGTGAGAGGTGGGGAATATAGGAGAAGAAGCGGCATCAGGATGTGCTTTGCATGCACTCCCAGACCCCAATGGGTACAGAGCCATTCCTATTCTCACCTCACAAGGGACATCATGGAAGTTGGCCAGCTAACTCAGGTGTTGGTCACAGGTTGAGAGAATCTCCCAGCTGAAATTTTCAATATGATCTTGAGTGGGGATGAGCCCCATCAGCCAGAATGGAGTAGCAAGCGGAAAGTGTGCTTATAGCCACCTGCTTCATAGGTTGACTGGGAGGGGCATGGCCTGAAAGCTGTGTTCTCCACCAGTTTTGAGTTCTGGGTAGAGGCTGCCTGGAACTCAGCTAGCTGTTGCTAATAGAACACTGTGAGTGTGAGATGTGCCTTGCCAAGTGCATGGGAGCTGAGTGGAGCTTACTGCTGCCGGCTACCCACCGCTCCCTGTGCAGATTATTTTATGCAGCAGAAGAAGCTGCACTCCTCCCTAGAACATTACCCCAGAGGCAAGGCAACTGCCCTCTGATCCACATTGGAGCCACTTCCTGAGCTTGCACATGGGGAGCCCGAGCACGGACTTGCCTGACCCAGCCTCCACCTGCTCTGGCTTTACCCCTTCATCTGCTCTGGTTGTACAACACAATAGACAGGGATGTTTTAGAGCTCCATGGTCCCGCCCCTTGCCCGAGACACCAGAGTACATTCTCTGGGAAACATAAGGCAAGCGCAAACCCCACTGCTACCACTGCAGCTGGTACTATTTTGCAAGCACCACCTCCTGGCTGGAGGCCAACCAACACAGTCCATTACAGCATCTGCAGACAGAATAACAGCATTCAGGAAAGAGAAAACTTTTGCATGGCCTCGGTTACCACCATTTCTTGCATCACCCTGGCTGACCAGGAGGTCTTGAGTCTGTTCACACGCCCAGTACATTAATACTAAATTTGGCCTTTGAGAATACCAACACAATAAGGCTATATATAACTAAGGGAATCTCAGAGTCTATGTAAGCCCCCTCCCACCCCCATCAGAGCTGGTGCTGTTACCCACTGCAGGGAGACTAGAGAACAGGCCACATCATTGGATACTTAGCAGACATTCCCCAGCACCAGCCTGGAATGTGGTTTCCCCGCTGGGCAGTTAGACATAGAGGAGCATCAGGATTCATAGTAGTCTGACCCTCAGGAATGGCTACTTCTAGGGCATATGGGAGGGCACCATGTAACCGCACAATGGGTTCACCTTGCCCGCTGCCTAGACAGAGCCGATTTATCAAGACAGGGGAATTGCAATGGAGAAAGAGTAATTCATGCAGTAATTCTGTGTGGGAGACCAGAGTTTTATTATTACTCAAATCAGTCCCTCTGAGCATTCCAGGATAGGGAGTTTTTAAAGACAATTTGGTGGGTAGGAGCTGGGCAAGTGGGGAGTGCTGATTGGTCAGGTTGGAAATGAAATCATAGGGGGTCAAGATGAGGTTTTCTTGCTATCTTCTGTTCCTGAGTAGGATCGCAGAACTGGTTGGGCCAGATTACAGGTCTGGGTGGTGTCAGTTGATCCACCCAATGCAGGGTCTGCAAAATATCACCTGATATTTTAAAATAAAACCTGATCTTAGGTTTTACAGTAGTGGCGTTATTCCTAGGAGCAATGTGGGGAGGTTCAGACTCTTGGAGCCAGAGGCTGCATGACCCCTAAACAGTAATTTCTAACCTTGTAGCTAATTTGTTAGTCCTACAAAGGCAGACTAGTTCCCGGGTGAGAAGGAGGTCTTTTCGAGAAAGGGCTGTTAGCAGCTTTGTTTCAGAGTCAAACCATAAACTGAATTCCTTCACAAGGTTTTTCGACCTATGCCCAGGAATTAACAAGGATATTGAACAAGATTAGAAGCAAGATGGAGTCAGTTAGGTCTGATCTCTTTCACTGTCGTAATTTCCTCGGTTATAATCTTTGCAAAAGCAGTTTTGATCACATTAAGGGAGTATCCTGTAGAACAAAAGAAATCAGACTGCAGGCCTTCAGCCCCTCAACTTTCCACTTGTGAGAAGTTTCTTTCAGCAGAGGCACAGGTAAAGTGGCTCAGTGGGGAAAGTCTGCAAGTGTACCCCAACAGCCAGGGCTCTCTGGTACTTTTGAAGGATTTTGCCAAAGGATACTTCTTCTCCCCAGACCCACCACTGAAAACATAGCTGGGGCTTCTTCCACAGGAGTTTGGCAGGAGCGCGTCTGCAGACAGCTTTTCTGGATCACTTTGGGGCGACGGCATACCACAGGATGAGTGTCCTCCAGGCTCAGACTTGCACGAGAGGCATAGTCATAATTCCTCTCTACATGGAACATCAGCATTCCTGCAGATGAAAAGAGGTTGCTGTCTGATCTGAACAGCTGAAATAGCAGGTCAGGACTGTGAATAAGAGGTGGATAATTTTCATGCTGGCCTGAAATGAGAGCTGTGTTGGTTATCTCCCTTCCTTGCTAAAAAATCAGTAGCTTCAACTGATTTTTACTGGTAGGCACCTCCTATATACCTGAAGCCTGAACTGTTCAACCCAGTGAATAAAAGACTAGGGAAGAAAGTTTTTGAAAGTGCACACCACTGGGGAGTAAGATAAGCTTCATGAGACTACTGCCATTTCAGCCCCACAGAAGATAGTGAACCTGATGATACACCCAGCACATCACTTCTACAACCAGCATTTGAGAAAGCCATCACACAAACTCTATAATCATGGAACTGATTCTGACTCTTCACCACTGAAAGCACCCAGAGCTGAAACTAGATGAAAATAAACTATAAGCATTAAAGTCACATCTGCAGGGAGGATAAATATTTTTTTCTAAAAAACCAGTTGAATAAAAAATAAATTTAAAAATACTTAGAAGAATCAGCCTGCCCAAATGAGAAGGAGCCAGAAAAATAATTCTGTCAATGTGAAGAAGCAGGGTTCTATAACACCTCCTAAAGATCACAGTAACTCTCTAGTAGTGGATTCAAACTGAGGTGATATCCTTGAAATAACAGATAAGGAATTTAAAAGGTTGATTATTAAGTTACTCAAGGAGATACAAGAGAATAGTGAAGACCAACATAAAGAAATTTACACAAAAGCAATTCAGGATATAAATGCAAAATTTTATAAAGAGATAGATATTTTAAAGAAAAACCAATCAGACTGTCTGGAAATAAAAGAGACATTTATGAAACTGCAAAATGCAATGGAGAATTTTAACAATAGATTAGACCAAGCTAAAAAAAAATCAGAGCTCGGAGATAAGGCTTTCAAATGTAAACCAATCAAACAAACAAACAAAAAAGAATCAAAAGAAATAGTCTTCAATAAATATGGAATAATATCAAATGGACAAAGTTAAGAATTGTAGATGTTCCTGAGGGAAAAGAAAAAGCAAAAACTTTGGAAAACCTACTTCAGAAAATAATTGAGGAAAACTTCCCTGGACTTGCTAGTGATTTAGACATTCAAATACAAGAAGCTCAACGGAGATACAAGAACTCTTGGGATACTCATTGTAAAAAGGACATCACTAATGAATCCAGTCATTAGGCTATCTAAAATCAATGTGAAGGAAAGAATTCTAAGAGCAGTGAGACAAAAACATCAGGTAACCTTACAAAGGAAAACCTATCAGACTAACTGCAGGCTTCACAGCAGAAACCTTAAAAGCCAGAAGGAATTGGGGTTCTATTTTTAGTCTCCTCAAATAGAATAACTGTCAGCCAAGGATTTTATATTCAACAAAAATAAGTTTCAGAAATGGAGAAATAAATTATTTCTCAGACAAGCAAATTCTGAGGAAATTTGTCAATACTAGGTCAGCCCTACAACAAATGCTAAAAGGCACTCTAAATCTTGAAACAAAAGGTCGAAACTGACCAGAATACAAACTACTGAAAGCAGAAAATTCAAAAGGTTATAAAGCAATAACATAGTGAAGAAAACAAAGTCCTTAGGTAACAATCAACATGATAACTGCTATAGTGCCTCAACACCCAATATTACCATTGAATGTAAATGATCTAAATGCTCCACTTAAAAGATAGAGGATTGGCAGGATGGATAAAAAATCAAAAAGCTCTGTATTCAGGAGACACATGGAACACGTAAGGAATCTCACAGACTCAAGGTAAAGGAGTGGAAAAAATATTTCACAAAAATGGAAACCAAGGAGGAGTAGCTATTCCTATATCAGATAAAATAGAATAGGCTTTAAAGCAACTACACAGATGTAGGGATGGTTCAATATATTCAAATTAATAAATATGATTTAGTGCATAAACAGAATTAAAGAGAAAACCATATGATCATCTCAATCGATGCATAAAAAACATTTAATAAAATCTAGCATCTCTTTATAATAAAAACCCTCAAGAAACTAGGCATAAAGGAAACACACCTAAAAGTAAGAAAAGTCATATATGATAAATCCACTGACAACATCATACCAAACAGAGAAAAGTTGAAAGCATTTCCCCTAACCACTGGAACAAGATAAGGATGCCCATTTTTACCACTTTTCTTCAACATAGTACTGGAAATCTTAGCCAGAGCAATCAGGCAAGATAAAGAAATAAAGGATATCCAAAAGCATGGACTTCCTCTTGGAAAAGAGGAAGTCAAACTATCTCTGTTTGCATGATGTGATCTTATACCTAGAAAACACTAAAGACTTCTCTAAAAGACTCCTAATTCTGATACATGAATTCAGTAAGATCTCAGTTTATAAAATCAATGTAAACAAATCAGTAGCACTTCACACACCAACAATGACCAAGCTAAGGATCACATCAAAAACTCAATCCCTTTTATGACAGCTGAAAAAAAAACCTAAAATACATAGAAATATACTTATCTAAGGATAGAAAAATCTCTACAAGAGAACTAAAAAACACTGCTGAAAGAAATCACAGACACAAACAAATGGAAATACATTTCATGTTCATGGACTGGAAGAATCAATATGAAAATTACTATACTTTATATACTGTAGATACCAAAAGGAATCTATAGATTCCATGCAATTCCTATCAAAATATCAACATTATTTTTTCACAGAATTAGAAAAATGCTAAAATTAATATGCTACCAAAAAGGACCTAAGTAGCCAAAACAATCCTAATCAAAAATAACACATCTAGAGTCATAACATTACCCAACTTCAAACTATACTGCAATGATATAGAAACCAAAGCAGCATGGTACTGGTATAAAAGTATACACATCAACCAGCTGAACAGAATAGAGAACCCACAAGTAAAGACAAATCCTTACAAACAACTGTTCTTCAATAAAGCATGCAAAAATGTAAATTGGGAAAAGGGTACTCAATTCAGTGAGTGGCACTGGGAAAATTGGATAGCCACATAAAAGAATGAAATTGGATAACTGTCTCTCATCATGTACAAAAATTAACTCAAGGTGGATTAAAGACTTAAATCTAAAACTTAAAATCATAAAAATTCTAGAAGAAAATCTAGGAAAATCCCTTTTGGACATTGGCCGAGGCAAATAATTCATGAATAAGATCCCAAAACGAAATGCAACAAAAACAAAAATATAAAAATGGGACATAATTAAACTAAAAAGCTTCTGCACAACACAAGAAATTATCATTAAACATACAATCTACAAAATGAGAGAAAAATTAATATTTTTAAATCATACATCCAACAAAGGACTAATATCCAGAATCTACAAGGAACTTGAACAAATCAGCAGGAAGAAAACAAATAATTTCATTAAAGAGTGGCAAAAAGACATAAATAGGCACTCCTCAAAAGAAGATACACAAATGGCCGATAAACATATGAAAAAATGCTAAACATCATTAATCATCAGAGAAATGCAAATTAAAACCAAAATGAGATGCCATTTACTCCAGGCAGAATGACCATTATGAAAATGTCTAAAGACGATAGATGTTGTCATGGATGTGGTGAAAAAGGAATGCTTATACATTATTGGCGGGTATGTAAATTAGTACAACCCCTATGGAAAATAGAATGGAGATTTCTCAAAGAACTAACAGTAAATCTACCATTTGATCCAGCAATCTCTACTGGGTATCTAACCAAAGGAAAAGAAGTCACTATATTAAAAAGACACCTGCATGCATATGTTCATTGCAGCATAATTCACAATTGCAAAGATGTGGAATCAACCTAAGTGCTCATCAACTGATCAGTGGATAATAAAATGTGGTACATATACCATGGAATACTACCCAGCCATAAAAATAAATAAATAATGCCTTTTGCAGCAACTTGGATGAAACTGGAGGGCATTATTCTAAGTAAAGTAACTCAGGAATCGAAAATCAAATACTGCAAATTCTCACTTAAAGTGGATGCTAAGCTCTGGGTCCCCAAAGGCATACAGAGTGATATAATGGACATTGGAGGCTCAGAAGCAGGGAGGTGAAAGGGGGTTAGACAGGAAACACTACCTATTGGGTAACCAATTGTACCCCTAAAGCTATTGAAATAAAAAATATATATTTTGTATGGCAAGAAAACAGGAAAAAAGAAATATAATACCATACACCAGTAAAAATACAACTCTATAATCATCTTTTGTAAGGTATGCTGTGTAACTAATAATCCCAAAATCTCCATGGATAGCAACAATAAAGGTTTATTTCTCTGGAGAGTTGCCTTATTGAATAAATAAATAAATAAAATAAAACTTTATTTTGGTAATCTGGTGTATCAATTTTGTGATTGGGTGCCTCATTGCTTTAAGATAAAAAGAAAAACATTAAAAAAAACCTCATTTGCAATACACCTTCTGTTATTGTGGTAATGGAAATATAGGTCCACTAATGCATATCTTCTGTAGGGTGTAATTTAATTGATGGTTCTGTTTACATAATT
Source organism: Homo sapiens (assembly GCF_000001405.40). Classification (NCBI taxonomy): domain Eukaryota; kingdom Metazoa; phylum Chordata; class Mammalia; order Primates; family Hominidae; genus Homo; species Homo sapiens. The sequence continues at coordinate 84,441,397 of NC_000013.11, read as the reverse complement.
TCTATAAACATGCGACTTAGAGTGATAGAAATATTAATATTATTGGTTATCTAATATGTGCCAAGTGACTAAAAATATGTTTTTCTTTTAAATTCTCTCACCAGCTAATATTATTTCATAGATTAGGAGACAAAACTCAGAGAAGTTTAAATAAAATCCCAAAACATTATCCACCACCTAATTGGTAGAGTTTGGACTCTAATATGGAAACTTCCTAATTCAAATCCTCTACAGTTTATACTATATCAGTTCCTAGACTAAAATAATCTTATTTAAGGGTTCATCTTTATCACTTACTCAGTTTGTGTTGCTGAACAAATCACTACATCAGCATCCAATTTTGAACTTAGGATAATACTTACCCTTCATCTTCACTTAATTTATGTAAGGGTCAGAAAATAGAAGAAACAGGCTCTTTAAAAATAATAAAGCACACCACTATTTAAAGATATCTTAAATCTTTATTAGTCAATTGAGTTATGTCATAATATAAAGACATGGTTTTAGTAGGGAGTATTAATTAATGATGAGGACTAGAACTTCACATGCTCTCTAAAAGTCAATACGTAATCTTAGAATATGGAAACAACCATTTGCCTGCAGCAATGATGTTCCCAGATATCCATGAACCTTCGTATCGTTGCCTTTTCACATGTTGTTTCCTTTATTTGGAGTGTCCTTTTCCCCTTATGTCTTGTAAATGCCAATCATTCTTTCTCTTTATGTCTCCTTACTCTGAAAAATCTTCCCTGATCAATTTCCAACATGCTTTACATCTCTGTTCCTGAAGCACTGTGTGCACAGCCCCAGCAGAGGATTTATACAGCTTTCACTTGACTGTTGTTTTTTTTTTTTTTCTATATCCCTTGCTGATCTGAGTGTCTTCATTATATAGTAAATGCCCAAAATTACTACTTCAGTGAGTAAGAATGTTATTATTTCCACTGTAATATAACTATAATTAGGTGATATTTATTATTTAAAAATAGTAGTTTAGCTATTATATTGAAATATATGATACACACAGCAAAGTACACAAAACATGAAGTGCAATGAATTTTTTTAAAAAGCCATCAACTACTAAGGTCAGCAAATCTCTCATTTTGAGTACCCCAGATAATCCCTTGTGCCTTTCCCAATCCTCCTTTCAAAAGTAACAAGTATCCTGACTTCTTGACTATACTGAAATTTCCTAACTGTGCTGATTATTCCATCTATAGTTGAGTTATACCTATCTTTTAATTTTATACAAATATGTTTACCATTATTGTCATTTTTATTGTAGTAAAAAACATGTCACATGAAATTTATCCCCTTAATAAATTTTTAAGTTTTTAGAACAGTATTGTTAACTATAAGCACAATGTTATACAGCAGACCTCTTGAACTATTTCAACTTGCATAACCGAAAATTTTTAACCCCAGCAACTGTGAGAAAAACATTTTATGAATAATAAACAGTGTAATATTGAATCGATCAGATTTATTTATTTTACTTTCTAAGAAACCTTTACTATAAATTAGCCCCATATCATAAATAAGTGTATATTTCCAAATATATTCTCATACACATACACACTGATATGTATATAAATTTTATATTATATTTCCATAGCTACATTATACGATATATTGAAAATATAGAAATGTACTTTGAGGGTAGGAAAATAAGAGATTGTAAAATATTACAAAGAAATATTTAACTAAATTTCTGTTGATTATTTTATAATAATAAATGCATTGTATAAAATACTTAATATAAGGCATATCATGATTTTGGCACTAAATCTTTCTGTAAAATTTGTATTAATTAAACTTAAAAGATGAATAAATAAAATCAGGAAACAAGAAAACTCCAGAGTTAAAAAAATTCAACTTTTGCTAATAATGACTAGGACCTGATTAATAAATTGTGCTACATTTAGCGCTCAATTATTAAACCTGGCAACCTAATCAGAAAATCAAGCTTCACAACCTGTAGCATAGTTTAAAACTCAGCAATTGTAACATCAAAGTGTGCAGCTGTATCAGTGGAATTGGTGGTTGAATCATCAAATATGCAGTGCAATTAGTTGAGTATGAAAATCCCACAGTGTTATAATATGGAGATGAATCAGCAAAGCTTCCTTGTGATTGCTAAATACCTGACTACTTCCTCAGTAACTATAGTTCTTGAATAATTTCCTAAATAAATATGGAAATGAAGTTTAATGAAATGAAACAGTGAATATGAAATAGTATTTGATGAATTTGAAAAATTGGTTTATTTTAAAAGAAACTGGATAATATTCTTTTACATACTCCCACTTATATACAGGGCCAACTAGCACTGACTACATGTTATTTTTGTTCTCTTAATTTTTTGGGGGGTCATTTAAACATATCCCACTGGATTTTACTCTCAATAGGTGAAAATTCCTTCATCCAGAAGAAATAACTCATAGGAATACAGTATTTGCATACCTCATCTCAATAGAGTCATCTAGGCAGGTAAATCACCTGAGATTGGGAGTTCGAGACCAGCCTGACCAACATGGAGAAACCCCTTCTCTACTAAAAATACAAAAAAATTAGCCAGGCTTGGTGGTGTATGCCTGTAATCCAAGCTACTCGGGAGGCTGAGGCAGGAGAATTACTTGAACCCCGGAGGCGGAGGTTGTGGTGAGCCAAGATCACACCATTGCACTCCAGCCTGGGCAACAAGAGTGAAACTCCGTCTCAAATGCACCTTTTCCATGGTGAAGAACTAACCATTGACTTGTTAATGAGATTCAAAAGAAAATTTCTGGAAATTGAAATTCCTGTATATAGAAAGTTTCATAAGTGTGGAAGAATGGAAGAATATAGTATTATTTCTAAAATTTCAGAAAGGAGCTACATTTACGGATATGTGGAAATTTGAAAGCTATATGTTATGTACAATGTTTTCTTTCACTTCAAAAATGTATGATTGCAAGTTCAAGTTCAGTGCTTTAAAAAACATTTCCCAAAATATTTAAACCTCAATGAGATTGTTTAGTTATCAGATGTCAGTATTCTCTCAGCTGGCATTCCATGTCCCGAGTAAAATTTGTGAAAATATTTTAATATGACTACGTTAAAGATAACACATTTTTCATTGTTCTTTCTTTCTTTCTTTGGAAAAACAATTACTTTTTGAAATAATTAAGCCTTCAATTTTTTTTTTCAACAATCTGTATTTTATTTTATTTATTTTTATTTGTATTTTTTGGGACAGCGTCTCGCCCTATCGCCCAAAGGCGTGATCTGGGCTCACTGCAACCTCTACCTCCCAGGTTCAAGCGATTCTCCTGCCTCAGCCTCCCTCGACAAACTGTATTTAAAAAATACATATAAAGAGTGAAAATGCGGTGTCAAAGGATTTTCAGCTCCTCTCCCCAAACCTCTAGGCTGGGGGCAAAAAAATTCAAGTGACTATGAGGTTCGGGAGGTCATTGAGGAGTGAGATTGGAAGACAAAAAAGGAACAAAAGAGGTCTCTGAAAAAGGGTAATACATCTTCCAAAGAGGCAAATGACTCCTACTCCAGCTGAATGCTGCCATTCAACTTGATAGAATGTGCAGCTATTTTGAGGAGATATCAGAATTTTTTTAACTTTAAAATCCTTAATTTTAAAGAAGTTGGCTACCTTTTAAAGAAGAAATAACTGTAGATTTCAAATACAACACATCTGCTTTCTATCAGCTTGGAAGCTTTTGTGTCAATGGAACTCTATTACAGAGGTCATCTTCTATTGACACAGTTAAAGGAAAGGAGTGTTGACTACTTTGTAAATCAGTTCCCTTAATTAGAAGTCAATTCTTTTAGAAGCTATATGTATATATGTATTTAAATCAAAGACGAGGAATTATAAGGCAGAAGGACAAAAGATCATTCAATTCATCGTTTTATTTTAAATGGGAAAATAGAGACTCAGAAAGTTCAAATCCTTCACACAAAGTCATGCAATTGTTTTAAAAAAGACCCAGAAAAAAAGACAACTGAAGTAAATGAACAAAACACCTGCCTCTTGAGAAGTCGCATGGTTTGTGATTTCATATATGTTATAGCACTTAATCTTCAAAAAAGTACTGTGATGAAGATAATGTTAGCCACATTCAAATGAATAAACAGCTTTAAGTCAATTTCCCAACATTACACACTATTTTCTATTCCCTACTTATATTGATTATTATTTATTAATAGGCACAACTGATTTGATGTAAATTGTGGAGGGATTTTGTGTAATTCAATCATTAGCTGACAGAGGGCTGCAGTACCCACCTTTGGTTAAATCTGAAGACATGCTACTGCTATTTCTTACTGGGCACAAGAAATCAAATAGCCCTGTAAGCTTTATTCTCTCCAAAACAAGCTTTAGAATGCATTGCTGCCAAATATCATTTTAGCCAGTTCAGCACATCTTAGCTGGGACACACACCAAGGAACCTGGACTGACAGCAAACACCCAGTGGGATGAGCCCACTGGTGCAGAGCCAGCCATCTTTCCTGTATTCAGGAATTTCTCATTGATAATAGAAGAAGTGCTGAAGTAATTCGTCCTTTAGCAGAAAACTTGGGGTCCAAATCCCTCAGACTAAACGCAGTTATCGTGGGTGTTAACATTTATTTTAGTATTTTTGCCTATTGTTCAAATTATGCAGATACCAGGTGGAACTAAATTAAATGTAATAAAAGTAGCAATAAAGTGTATTTATCAAACACTGATTTATGACATACTTAGAACAAAGAGTTAGTAATAGAATATGTCAGCAGTATCCAATATGCTGAAAATTAATTTTAACACATTTTCATAAATAAATTTAAGAAAAACATTATCCAAATTTGGCCATCCTGTTTACTTTATCACATTTCATTATTTATTCCTCTCCTTAGATATAATAATGTATCATTTTATTTATTTGAATACAAGTAAATAGCTTCCCTTTTCATACTAGAATCTAAGTGAAATGAAGGTGAAGGTCTTGACTTATTTGTTGATTGCAAAGCTTGGCAAAGAGTTTAAAAAGAAATAATCAATTAATTAATTAATTGATGCAAAAATATTAATTACAGAGGAGAAAAAGAAATGTTAAGCATTCTTAATGAGAAAAGGTTTAGATAGTGAGGAATATAGCAAAATTTATAAAGAATTAAATTTAGCCAGTGAGAGAAAGAAAATAATATTTAGAATTTTCAATAGATTCAAAAAATTTAAAATATAACACATGGAAACAATACAAGAAACTAAAAATAAAGGAAAAACAGGCTAACTTGCTATGAAATTAATTTAATTAAACCTTAAGTGGCTAGGAATGATGAGATAGAAGAGAGGGAAAACACTCTGTGTAGGCATTATTGGTTATCTTAGTTTGATAGCTTAAGTGAGAGAAAATCCTAATATTTCTCCTTAAGACCAGTAAATACACATATATACATCCTGGATTTTAATCTCTCTTTTTCATGTATTAAATGGTATATATGTGTTGCCAATTATTTTATTTTAACATCTACTTCGTGAAAATCTGAGAGTGGATTATAATTAGATTATGATTCCTGTTCAAGATCTATATACTTCACTTCCAAAACTCTTTACCAAGTGAAATGTACAATTTATCTATTTCTTCTTCAATGTCCTCTAGTTTAGTTTTGCTCACATTCTTTATTATTAAAAGTTTGTACCCTTTGACCAATATCTCCCCATTTCCCTTACTGCACCCTGACACCTTCAGCTCCTGGCAACTATTCTTCTACTCTTTGCTTCTAAGTCTTTAATATTTTTTAGATTTCACTTAGAGTGAAACCATATGGTATGTGTCCTTCTGTTAACTGACTTATTTTACTCAGTGTAAAGTCCTCCAGGTTGATTAATGTCACAAATGGCAGTATTTCCCTCTTTTTTATGACAGAAATATTTCATTTTCTTTATCTATTCATCTAGATGTACATTTATGTTGTTTTCATATATTGACTTTTGTGAATAATGCCACAATGAACATGGGAATGCAATTTTTTTTTCAAAATAGTGATCTTATTTCCTCTGGATATATACCCAGTAGTTGGACTACTGGATCATTTGGTAGTTCTATATTTAATTTTTTTGAGGAATCTCCGTAGTGCTTTTCCATAATGGCTGTGCCAATTTACATTCTCACCAACAGTTTCAGAGCTCCCTTTTTTGTACATTTTTGCCAACACTTGTTTTTCTCTTTTTGATAATAGTCAAAGAGAGATGAGGTGATATCTCATTGTGGTTTTTATTTGCTTTTCCCTGGTGATAGTTATGTTGAGCACCTTATATTTCTGTTGGCCATTTGGATTTCCTCTTTGGAAAAATGTCTATTTTTTTCTCTAAGAACTGGAACAAGACAAGGTGCCTACTCTCACCACTTCTATTTAACACAATAGTGGAAATTCTAGCCAGAGCAATTAGGCAAGGAAATGTAATAAAGGCATCCCAATCAGAAGAGAAGAAGTTACCTTGTTTCTGTTTGCAGATGACACAATCTTATATAAAGAAACCCTAACAACTCAACCAAAAAAAAATCTTAAAACCAATACATGAATTCAGTAAAGTTGCCGGATACAAAATCAACATACAAAATCAGTTACATTTCCATACACTAACAACAAACAATCTGAAAAAAGTTAAAAATTTCATTTACAATAGCATTAAAAAATACTTAGGGATAAATTCAATGAAGGTGTTGAAAAATCTGTACAGTAAAAACTACAAGATATTGATAAAAGAAATTGAAGATGACACAAATACATAAAAAGATACTTTTAAAAAATTATCAATTGGGACTATTAATATTGTTTAAATGTTCATACTACACGAAGTTAACTACAGGTTCAATGTAGACCCAATAAAAAATCCAATGGCATATTTTACACAAGTAGAAAAAAATCATAAAATTCTCTTAGAAACAGAAAACTGGCATAACCAAAAAAATTTTGAGCCAGAAGAACAATGGTAGAGATATTATACTCCCTGATAACAAATCACATAACAGCACTACAGTAATCAAAACAGTATGTTCCTGGCATAAAAATAGACATACAGAACAATATAACCTGACAGTGAGTTCAGAAATAAACCCAGGTATATACAGTCAACTGATCTTTGACAAGGGCACCAATATACAATGTGGCAATAATAGTCCCTTGAGTAAAAGGTGTTGGGAAAACTAGATAACCACATGCAAAAGGATGAAATTGGACACTTGCCTTATACTATACTAAAAACTAGGTGGAAATGGATTAAAGACTTAAATGTAAGACCTGAACCTAAAGAAAACAGAAAAAAATCCTTGATATTAGTTTTCAGTATAATATGACGTTTTCAGTATAATATCAAAAATATAGGAAACAAAAGTGAAAACAAATGAGTAGTACTGCGTCAAACTAAAAAGTTTCTGTAAACAAAGAAAACAATCAACAAAATGAAAAGGCAAGCTACAGAATGGTAGAAAATATTTGCAAATCATATATCTGATAAAGGGTTAATTTCCAAATATATAAAGAATTCACATTATTCGATAGCAAAAATAAATACATAAATATCTTAAGTGAAAAATAAGCAAAAATATGAATAACTATTGTTTTTAGATCCAATTCCTCTAAGTATCTGGTAATCTAGCAATGATTTGGTTTCTGAAGACGTTTGTCTTCATCATCTCTCCCTCAAGTCTGCTCCATTTAATCAGTGTTTCTTCATCCTTTTGCACAGTAAAATCTTTTTAATCAAAAAGTCATTTGGCTTAAGGCAGGAGACCAGGTAGAGGCAGAACTCTTGTTAATCTGTGTTTCTTAGAGAACCTGATACAAAATAATTTAAACCAATTCAGATCCACTGTCTCCTTTGTATAGACATGCCTATAAGGAAAGGTAAAAGCAATATTCTATCTGGCAGCTTTTTATTGATTCAGGAGTTACACAAGTGATACATATAGAGAGAAAATTAATATTTATTTAATATAGGTTGTTGATCATTGTTAGCTTTGGTGGCCATGAAAGTCTACCCTCAGACTTCTATCTTCAGAGATTGTGATGCTGCTATTGCCCTCTGAATTCCATCTCTATGTTTCACCGGTAAAATGTTTCTCATGGGCCACTTCTAGCCAATGCTTCAACATAGCAGTGATACTAAATCTGGCCCATTCCTAGAAGATGAATAATCAATCCCTCTGGTGGGCAAGTGTGGCTCAAGGAATCCACATGAACCCTGACGAACTGTTAGAATCACACTGCAGTCTAAGATTCTCCTACTTCATCTTCTTTCCCTTCCTCCCTTAGAAAGGTTAGGCCTGTGCAGTGGTCTTGACATATCTCCCAGCTGTCCTGGCATCATGCACTTCACTTCAGAAGCCTTTTTCTCTCTCATATATATATATATATTTTTTTAAACAAAAAAAAAAAAAATATATATATATATATATATTTTTTTTTAAACAAAGTCTCGCTCTGTCGCCAGTGGCGATCTTGGCTCACTGCATCCTCTGCCTCCTGGATTCAAGCAATTCTCCTGCCTCAGCCGCCTGAGTAGCTGAGACTACAGGCATGTGCCTCCACCCCCATTTAATTTTTTTGTATTTTTTTTTTAGTAGAGATGGGGTTTCAGCCTGTTGGCCAGGATGGTCTCGATCTCCTGACCTCGTGATCCACCCGCCTCGGCCTCCCAAAGTGCTGGGATTACAGGCGTGAGCTACCATGCCAGGCCAGCCTTTCTCCTAATATTTTTAATATCTAATCCCAACTTGACATCTGCTTTTTAGGAGACCTGGACTACCCCACTGGGCTTAACCGCTCTTTGTTGTCAACATCAACAATGACTTAGACAGCAAGCCAATAAAACAAAAAAAAAATCATAGAATTTTTCTTATGTGAAAAATGCTTGGCAGATACCTGGTTAAACATCACGGATACAGGGATTTACTTTTACTCCCTACTGAAATTCAGTGATAGTGGCAGTTGAATTAAAGACATAAATAATCATGTAAAACTACAGAGTAAGTGGTAAGGTAACAGCAGATCAGAGATGTCAACAAACGGAGTGGTAAATTAATTAACAGAGTGGGGAAATCAGAGGGAAATGAAGCTTCAGAAGAGATGCCAATGAAAAGCAGCCTCTGTCCTTCAGGCGCCCATCTATATAGGGAGTTAGTTATGTTACCTATTTTTAATATTAATTTGAGAAGAAAATGAGCTAATATATATCAATCACTTAGAACTTAGAATGTTTAGCTCACAGTAAGTAGTCAAGAAATATTAAGTGTTATTAAATTATCTAAACTATTATCATTCTATCAAATTAAAAATATTTTAATTTATCTGCCAGAATAACTGGCACTTTGGTAAAATACATAGTCTCAAAAATGATGAGAACACTGGTATGTCTCCAAATAATCTGTGGGATCTGCTACAAGTACAGAATCTTTGGTTTTAACCAGACCTGCTAAATCAGAGTCTCTGAGGTTTGAGTTTAGAATTTGCATTTTAACAAACTCCCTGAGGTTATCTTTGCATTTTGAATTATAAGAACTACTTCATCACAGAAACATTTTAAGCTGGTTAACATGTAATGTGAGTCACGTCATTATTTGGTTCCTAAAATGTCTAACCCTAACTCCCACATTGCTGACCTGTCTTACTGATTTTATACCAATAGCACTCTACAGCTTTTGTATTCTCCAAGCAAATGTCAGTTTCTTCCTGTTGTTGAACATGTTTTGTTTTTGTTTGTTTTTTTTTTTTGTTGTTGTTGTTGTTATTCTTCTGCTCAGGCTGCTTTACTCTCCAATACTCTTAAAAATTTAAAAAATTTAACTTTTACATTTCATAATCTGCTTCAGGTATTATTCCTTTGAGAAAGCTAGTCCAGTGTCTGAGAAACCCTGATAGAATTGATCATCCATGGTCCTCTTGCATGCTTGGTATGATAGCTGCTGGGGCTCTCACAGTGTATTATAATTTGTTTCTATCTCCCCTCCTGGACTTTGCATGCCTTAAGCTCAGGGCCTATATGATATCTTTCTCTTTAATACAAATCCCTAACAGGTATGAGACTTTAGTACAGTTTTTATAGAAATTTGATGAATGATTTCCTATAAATGGAATGTACTTGTATATTCACACAGTATTTTTCTTTTCTTTTTTTTTTTTTACAATTATCTCTGAAACACAATTTTGTTCATGGGGTACTCTTCATGACATATTCCCATTAGAAAGAAGGAACCTACATTGAAGAAGATATTGAGTTTTACTCATTAATTCACTGGTGTAAACAAGGACTGAGTCCAAATTAGAGATAAAAAATTAATATGGAGAATCAAATCAAACTATGCCATTTACGTTTTCTCTTTAAGAGTAAAGCTGCTTAAGATAGTTTTAAACTAAGCTTTAATTTTAAATATTTTTTACTTTTTTAAAAAATTAAATTTAAAAGGGAAAGTAAAGCATTTGTTTATTAATCTATCCTCTTAAACTCTTATACAAAGCACTTCCAACTTCTCTTTACAGAGAAAATATGCCAATGTCTCAGTTTAAGCACCAGATTAGCACCTGCTTTAAGAATTTGGGAGGCACTAATTGACCTGAAAACAGCCCAACATGAGCAGCAGGCATAGTGTTATGTTTGCTTCAAAATCTAAGTCTCATTGCCAACACTTACCTAATGTAAATATAAGAAAAACAAATTGAACAGTACTGTTGCTTGCACGTGCTAAAGCCATATTTCATTGAGCCAAATTCACCCCGGGGCATGTCATTCCTTGGAACCCAGATAAGCATCCAGTGAGATGGATTAACACTTTGAAGTCACTAGGGTATCATCAAGACTTTTCTGTTGATGATACTATGTCATCGGCACTGGGGAAAATCTGGCTCATCTTCTTAGTAGCAGAAATAATGTAATTTAAGTGAGCTGCCAGGATAATTAGAGCGGGTGAACAGTAGACAGAAATAATGCCCTAAAGAGACAAAAGAAAATGCTTAGATTCTTTTTCACTTTATTTCAGTGCTACTAAACACTAGTGGTATCTGTTTGCTTCTATGTCTCTGTCAATGCTGAGTAGCAAATTAGGCATTTGGGGAGACATTAACTCTTCCAAGCCACTTGGAGACTATTTAGTGCATTTCTGAGCAGTGCTAATTGACAGAATTGTAAATGAAAACATCAGAAAAATGTGATATTTATCTTTACTGAATTAGGAATTTTAGAAAACCACAGGAGAATGATTCATTGCCATCCCTTTTTAGAAAGAAATACAATTCCAGATTCCTGCCATATTTATTTATGTGATAACAACGAGTCAGTGGCTTCTTACACGGGTATTCAAACTAGGTATGTGCTAAAGTTTTTGTAGACTAGAGAGTTTACTTTCCCAAACCTTAATAGCTCAAATCCATAAGAATAAAATGTTAAAAGTATTTGGTTGGTTTTCTAAGGGCACTTGGCTGCAACCTATATGATTAATATAATTCTCAAGAATTCTTCTGTGTAAAATCAACCAAGTGCTTCTCAAAGTCTAGCCTATTAGTTTCTTCCTGAATGTATTTTATGCATTGTGTCCTCATACATTTTTGCTTGTGTCATTGCTCTTAATTGAAACGATCAGTCTCTCTTTCCTAATGAAAATTGGGCTCCACATTATGTCTTATGTTTAACTCATGGTGACTAGACCAAAAAATAATTTGAACAATGAGAAAATTTTAGAGCACTGAAACTATTCTGTATGATACAGTAAAGGTGGGTGAATTACACTATACATTTGTCAAAATCCATAGAACTATACAGCAAAAAGAATAAACCTTAATACATGCAAGTTTTAAAAAACTCAAGCTGGAGTATTCTGTAGAATGTGACAAAATAATCTAACTTTATTATAATTATATTAAAATCTTCACTGAAGAAGTAGGGGTAAGATGCTGATCTAAGTAACCTTGGAAATGAGTGGAGTCTATGGAATTAAAGGCCTGTAGAAATTGATATAAGTACTGTATTATATATATAGTTGATAAAGTTGTTTTCATTGGAGATATGGTTCAACAATTCTGGTATCACTGACACTGGACATCTTTACTAGAAATGAACAGTTAAATAAATGGATGGAAGATGGTAAGAATAATTATTCTCACGTACGGAGTGGGAGATTTCATATAATCAAAGAGGAAAGGCAAGATACATTGGTTTGAGATCATATTTAGGTCAGCATACAGAAGGTTAAATACAGAAATGTTTATAAATATGCATATACATACACATATATAATATACACACACACACACACACACACACACACACACACAGATTAGTATGCACAAACACATTCCCTTGCTGTATCTACTGAAAGGGCATAGAAACAATAGCAGTTGCATCTTCAGACTTCACTTCTAATTCTAGTTATTTTGCTATTTCTACCACATCTGTAGTTAAATCCTCCACTGAAATCTTGAACCCCTCAAAGTCATCAATAAAGTTGGAATCCACTTCATCCAAACTCTTATTTGTATTGATATTTTGACCTCTTCCCATATGTCAAGAATTTCCTCAATGGCATGTAGAATGGTAAATATTTTCTAGGAAATCTTCAGTTTACTTTGACCAAATCCATCAGAGGAATCACTACCTATGCCAGCTGTAGCTTTAAAAAAAAAAAAGTATTTTCTAAATAATAATACTTGAAAGTTGAAATGACCCCTTGACCATGGGCTGAAGAATGGATGTTTTTTTAGCAGGCATGAAACAACATAAATCTCCTTGTACATCTATATCAGAGTTGTTGGGGGACCAGGTGCATTGTCAACGAGCGGCAATATTTTGAAAGGTTTTTTTTTTTTCTTTCTGAGCAGTAGGTCTCAACAGTGAACTTAAAACGTTTAGTAAACCATATTGTAGAAAGATGTGTTGTCATCCAGGCTTTTTTGTTCCATTTATAGAGCACAGACAGCATAATTCTTAAGGGCCATAGTGTTTTCAAGGAAATGAGCATTGACTACAAGTTAAAGTCACCAGCTGCACTTCTCCAAAAAGTGTCAGCCTGTCCTTTAAAGCTTTGAAGATAGGCTTTGAATTATCTCTAGCTATACAATTTGTAGATAGCATAGTTTCCAATATAAGACTGTTTTGTTCACATTAAAAATCTATCGTTGAGTGTAGCCACCTAATCAATGATCTTAGTTAGATCTTCTAGATAAAGAGCTGCGACTTCTACATCAGCACTTGCTGCTTGACCTTGCATTTTTATGTTATGGAGATGGCTTTTTTCCTTAAACCTCATGAACTAACTTCTGTTAGCTTCAAAAAAAAATTTTTTTTTTTTTTTGAGATGGAGTTTCGGTCTTGTTACCCAGGTTGGAGTGCAATAGTGCGATCTCGGCTCACTGCAACCTCCACCTCCCGGGTTCAAGCGATTCTCCTGCCTCAGCTCCCCAAGTAGCTGGGATTATAGGCATCCGCCACCACACCCAGCTAATTTTTTGTATTTTTAGTAGAGACGGGGTTTCACCATGTTGGCCAGACTGGTATTGAACTCCTGATCTCAGGTGATCCGCCCGCCTCCGCTTCCCAAAATGCTGGGATTACAGGCGTGAGCCACTGCACCTGGCCTAGTTTCAAAATTTTATTTTGCAGCTTCCTCACCTCTCTCAGCCTTCATAGAATTGAAGAGTTAAAATCTTGTTCTGTTTTAGGGTTTTGCGTAAGGGAATGTTGTGGCTGGTTTGATCTTCCATCTAGACCACTAAAACATTCTTCATATTATCAATAAGTTTGTTTGACTTGTTATCATCTTGTGTTCAATGGAGTAGCACTTTTAGTTTCCTTTAATAACTTTGTGTTTTGCATTTATAACTTGGCTAACTGGTGCAAGAATCATAGTTTTCAGCCTATCTTAGCTTTCAATATGCCTTTCTCTAATCTTAATCATTTCTAGTTATTGTTTTAAAGATAGTGGTGTGTGACTTTTCATTTGAACACTTAAAATCCATTATAGGGTCACTAATTGGGCTAATTTCTATATAGCTGTGTCTTAGAGAATAGGGTAGCCCAAGGCGAGGAATAGAGATTGGGAAATGGCTAGTCACTGGAGCAGTAAGAACACACCTAGCATTTATTGATTATGTTGCCATCTTATATAAGCATGGTTCCTGGTGCCACAAAACAATTACAATAGTAATATCAAGGATCACTGATCACAGATCACCACAACAGATATAATGATAATAAATTTTTTTTTCTGAAATAGTTATTAAGTCAATGTATGTATTTGTTAATTGTGACAATTTATAAGTTTGATTTCTGATAATTAAATCCTCTTGTTTGCCTCAAACCTACAATTTGCAAAAAACATAGTATCTGTGAAGTGCAATGAAGTGAAGCCCAATAAAACAAGATTTGTCTTGTACACTTGGGAGAACAGATTACTGATTACTACTTTCGTAATAATTGTTTTTTCCTTCAGGAAAAATCAAGTGGATTTCAAATTTTGGTTTTGAAATATTCTAAATGTCTTTTATTAAAAGAAAATATGAAATAGAAAAATTAAAATTTTTGATCTCAATTAAAATATTTAAAGTGTAATACTCTATGAATTTGCTGGACTGCCATATCAGAATACTATAAATTGGGTGTCTTAAACTACAGAATATTTTTTCTTGCAATTCTGGAAGCTAGACGTCTACAATCAAAATGCCAACAGGGTGGGTTTCTGCTGAGGCCTCCTTTTGGCTTGAAGATGATTGTCTTCTCCCTATGTCCTCACATGATCTTTCCTCTGTGCCCACACATCCATGGTGTCTCTTCCTCGTCATATTAGAACAGTCATTCTAATTAGGGCCCATCCCAATAGCTTTGTTTTAAGTTAATGATCTCTTTAAAGGGCAAATCAGTCAAATTCTAAGGTACTAGAGGTTACGGCTTCAACATATGAGCTTTCAGGGATACAATTCAGTCCATAACCCTTACATTTTAAGCAAACACTTCAAAGTTAAATAAGAATGATTATCAGAAATCAAACATAAATTTTTGAAATAAACAAATAGGTACATTGACTCAATAATTATTTCAGAACCTATTTCTACTGAGTTTGATATTAATCTTGCAGAAAAAATGAAACAAATGGGGTATTAATTTCACCTTCAGGGTGCTTTCTGAATTGGGGAAGAAATGGACATAGAGACCAGTATAACAGTAGGATGTAGGTTGTTTTTAAAAATGACTATGCAAACTCAAGTCATAAAGATTCCAGCTCACAGTATCAGAAGTAATTTGGGAGAGGTAAGAATGTTAGAGTTGATTTTTAAAGATGATTAAGACACAAAAACTGCGTTAAATTTTGTAACCTATTTGTATAACTTATCTTAATTTGTACTGCTTGACATTGTGCAAAGAAATAAAATTGCTGGGTGAGAGAGCGAGACTCCGTCTCAAAAAAAAAAAAAAAAAAAAGAAATTAAATTAGTCTGCAACATTTGAACTTAACTAGGCTGTGTTAAATAATGTACCAGACCAAGAAATTTAAGTGATTTCTTCATTGGTTCCAGCTATGCTATTAAGTGCTATGTAACCTTAAGAGAGTCACTTAACTTCTCTGGGCCTTGCTCTCCTCATCTGTAAAATATGGCATTAAATTAGATGAACTATGAGATTCTAATTAGTTCCTTACTGGATGATTACTGTTTATCACCTTTGACAAGTCTGAATAGCCACAGAAGTTTTTATTAACTTTCCCAAATTCTCCAAAGAATAAAATTTATATAGAAAAATTAATCCCGGAGTCTATTTAATTCCTGATTAATGCAATTTTGTTCTAAAAAACAGTCATGAAATGAGAAAACAATATTCAAAAATTTAATAAATATTTTAGAGGTAGTAGAATGTACGGCAATATAGACAAAAGGAATCTCAGAGATCAGCTATTTTATTTTTTAAGTCAGTATCCTAATTCCATAAACTGAAAAAGGCAAGACATATACTAAAATGTGAAATTTTGAAATCCTTACATTTTGTAAACTCCCTAACTTGTGACTTAGTTTTACTTTCCATGATAACAGTTTGTTTTATTATAACTAATTCCTGAAATCTAGTTAAAGAATAGGTAACACATGGCTAGTTTTAGAAACTGAGACTCTCAACATTGCATTACAGTTGTAAAAAGCTACAGGAATATCCTTGGTTCTTAGGATCCTGGAATAAAAGAATAAAAATCAGAAATATCATTTCATATAGGGGACAGATAATACAATAGATATGGCTGAAATAATAAATTAGTGAGTTGGACTATAAGGTAAAGATAGCACCAGCAAGGAATAAAGAAATGGCAAAATATGTGTGTCTGCATGTGCACGTGTGTGGAATGCATCTTCATGGGAAACAGAGATAGAGACCTATATTTTAGTTCTTGACATTACGGCAAGTTAACAAGTGCTACTGTCTCCATTCTCTGTACCCAATACCATAATTCCAATGCCATAGAAAATGATAATTGAGAGAAGAAAGTGAGAATGACTTCGATATGTTGCAGGGTAAGAGAGTGTTGAGTAACCACAAACCAGAGTGGAAGCCTGAGCAGCATCACATTGGTGTACAGTTCAGGTGTACCTTGCCTGGAATGGTCATTATCTTGTCTTTTTATCAAGTGGGAAAATGTATATTTTCAGATCACAAATGTAAGAACAGTATTTTGTAAGAGCATAAACACCAAGTTCTTCTCCATCTCCTCCCGCATTTTTTTTGCCTAAGGGATTACAGCTGATGGAGAAAGTTCTTAGAAATATCAGTATCCCAAATGTAGGACCATAGGTTTTCTAAGATCCTACTGGTTTCTGCCCTAAGACCACTCCTTACACAACACTTGAGAAACAGAAGCTGTTGCTTAGTCTTTGAGTTCCTCACCCTGAGTAGACAGTAACAACCAAGATATCTAATATACCTATGCCAATATCTGAGAACGATTTCTTTAAGAATTTAGAAGAGAAACCTAATACTGTATTCTAAGCAAGATAGATAGATCTATCTCTTTCTTTATCATCTCTATCTGTCTCTATCTCCCTCTATGTTAATTCAGAGAGTCTGAGAATTTAAAATAATTATGGTAAATACTAAACAGATAAAGGAAAATATATTAGTAACAAAAACATAACAAGCAATTTTAAGAAATAATATATTGGAAATGTTGAGTATAAAAATATTAAACATGAAATAAAGCTTCCAAGAGCTGTAATATAGAGCAGAATGAATATAGTAATGAAAAATAAATGAATGAGTAGGCTGTAAGAAGTTGAGCAATACATCAAGTAAGAAGAAAAATACGATTTTTTTACAGCAGAATTTGTAAGGAGAGAACTAAAAAACAAGATTTAATTTCGATTTCAGAAAAAGATCAAAATGAAAGGGAAAAATATGAAAAAAATACCTAAAACTCTTCTAAAATTAAAGAAAGATAATTTTTAGATTGAAAAATACTAGACGGGATAGATAAGGAATGAGCCCACAACTGAGCATATTTCATTAAAACTTCATGATGTAAAAATCACATCTAAAATATTTTTGAAAAAAAACAAGAACCCATCATTTACAGTAGAACTGAGTTTAGATTAACAAATGACTTCAACATTATCAATGACAAGTGGGGAAACACTGAAGTAAAATCTTCAAACTGCCAATGAACTGAATCTCAACCCTATATTTTATAGTCGGTAAAAGTCTTTTAATTGAAAATGGAAATTATTCTGAGAAAGCCAAGGTCTCACAATGTTTAATTTATTATCTGCTTTGAAAAATTCTTATATAGAGTAATTGTATAATTTATTATCTAAACTGTGACACTTCTTAGCATGGCTAAATGCTGAATAATGATCAACTAAAGAATATCTATAATTGTGCTTATCAATCTAGGTAAACTAGGTCTGCCCCATGCAAACTCAGACAAATGATCACACTACTCTTGGAATAGATACACTTTCAAGAAGAAAAAATTCAGGTGAAGGTCTATATAAAGAAAAATAATATGTGGTAGCTAAGGAAAATATTGTTTTTACAAAATTTTACATAACATATTCAAAATTTCAGACTTGAAATTCTACATAATAGCAGTGCAACAGTAATGATGGTAGATAGAGGAGGCAAGGGAAGCTGAAGGATAGTGAGAGTGCTTTTGAGGATAGTGCTTAGGATATCTACATCCAATTTAATAAATTTAATTAATAAAGAAATATAAACATAAGACAGAGTTTCAGTGAGCTAGGGGAACTGTAACAACAATTACAACAGAATTCATGATCTTCCAATCAACAGAATAGTAAACCTTTTCAATAAAAGCCAGGAAAGAAAATAAAAACAAGATAGTATATATAGAAAACATTAATAAAAGGAAAAATATGTTATATCACATTTATTACAATAAATATGAGATATACCATCAAATCAAGAAAGTCATCTATCAACGAGTTGTCCACAAGAAACATAATAAAGCAAATCGGGAAAACTAAGCTTATTCAGAGAAGCATAAACAAAAAAAGGAGTTATCTATTTTAAAATTAAACAATATAGAATGAGGCATTGACATAAAGATAAATAAATTTTATATATAGATAAAAAGTTTAACTACCATGAATATACACATTTAATACACACACACACACACACACACACACACACTCTTTCACCTCAGAATATATAATGCAACAACTGAATAAAATAAAAGGAGAAATATATAAACAGTAGTTGAAAGTTTAACAAATCTTCAGAAATTAATATCAGGCAAAAATATTGAAGATTTTATTAGTTGAATTAAATTAAGTCAACTAGAATTTTACAACTGAAAGAAAAGAAATCTTTTCAAAGGCATGTGGAACATCATATTAAGCCCCAAAAAAGTTTTAATATATTTCAAATAAATCCAATTCATGCACTTTAGGTTTATTTTATTGTATTGTAGCTTTTTGACACAAGAACTTTGTATCAGTTCATTGTCACACTGCTATAAAGACATACCCAAGACTGGATAATTTATAAAGGAATAAAGGAAAGGGGTCTAATTGACTCACAGTTCTGCATAGCTGGGGAGGCCTCAGGAAACTTACAATTATGGCGGAAGGCAAGAGAGAAACAAAGGCACATCTTATGTGGTAGCAGGCAAGAGAGAGAGTGAATGAGCGAAGGGGGAAGAGCCCCTTATAAAACCATAGATCTTGTCAGAACTCACTCACTACTATGAGAACAGCATGGGAGAAATAGACCCCATGATCCAACCACCTACTGCTAGGTCCTGCTCTTCACATGTGGGGATTATGGGGATTAAAATTCGAGATGAGATTTGGGGGGTGGGGCACAGAGCCAAATCATATTATTCTGCCCTGGCCCCTCCCAAATCTCATGTGTTTTCACATTTCAAAATCAATAATGCCTTCCCAATAGTCCCCCAAAGTCTTAACTCATTCTGGCATTAACTCAAAAGTCCACAGTCCAAAGTCTCATCTGAGCAAAGGCAAGTCCCTTCTGCCTATGAGCCTGTAAAATCAAAAATAAGTTAGTTACTTCAGGTGTTGGGTAAATACATTCAATCAAATGAGAGACATTGGCCAAAACAAAGAGGCTAAAGGCCCCATGCAAGTCTGAAACCAGGCAGGGCAGTCATTAAATCTTAAATGTCCAAAATGATCTCCTTTGACTCCATGTCCCACATCCAGGTCACACTGATGCAATAGGTGGGCTCCCACAGTCTTGAGTAGTTCTGCCCCTGTGGCTTTTACAGGCATATGGTTCAAACTGTCGGTGAATCTACCATTCTGGGGTCTGCAGGACAGTGGCATTCTTCTCCCAGAATCACCAGGCAGTAGCCCAGTGGGGACTCTGTGTGGGGGCTCCAATCCCAAATTTCCCTTTGTCACTTCCCTAGCAGAGGTTCTCCATGAGGGCTCTGCTCCTGCAGCAAACTTCTGCCTGGATATTCAGGCCTTTCCGTACATCCTTTGAAATCTAGGCAGAGGTTCCCAAACCTCAATTCTTCACTTCTGTGTACCCACAGGCCTAACAGCACATGGAAGCCACCAAGGCTTGGGGCTTGCACCCTCTGAAGCAACGGCCTGAGCTGTAAGTTAGCCCATTTTAGCCACAGCTGGAGCTGGAGTGGCAGCAACTGGGACACAAGGTGCCAAGTCCCAAGGCTGCACAGAGCAGCAGTGGGGTGGGTAGGTGGGGCCCTGAGTGCAGCTCACGGGACCATTTTTTTCCTCATAGGCCTCTGGGCCTGCAATGGGAAGGCTGCTGTGAAGGTCTCTGACATACCTTGAAGACACTTTCCCCATTGTGTGGTTGACAAAGATTTGGCTCCTCATTACTTATGCAAATTTCTGCAGCCAGCTTGAATTTCTCCCCAGAAAAGAGGCTTTTGTTTTTTACTACATGGCCAGGCTGCAAATTTTCCAAACTTTTACTCTCTGCTTTCCAAACTTTTACTCTCTCCCTTCAAATATAAGTCCCAATTTCAGATAATCTCTTTCAAGTTCAAAGTTCCACAGATCTTTAGGGCAGGGGAAAAATGCCACCAGTCTCTTTACTAAAACATAGCAAGAGTGACCTTTATTCCAGTTCCCCATTTCCATCTGAGACCACCTCATCTTGGACTTTGCTGTCCATATCACTATAAGTATTTTGGTCAAAACCAGTCAATAAGTCTCTAGGAAGCTCCAAACATTCCCACATCTTTCTATCTTCTTCTGAGCCTTCCAAACTCTTCCAACCTCCGCCTGTACAGAGTTCCAAAATCATTTCCACATTTTCTGGTATCTTTATAGCACAGCCCCACTCCCAGTATCAATTTACAGTATTAGTCCATTCTCATGCTGCTATAAAGAGATATCCAAGACTGGGTAATTTATAAAGGAAAGAAGTTTGATTCACTCACAGTTCCACATGGCTGGAGAGTTCTTAGGAATTATAATCATGGCAGAAGGCGAGAGAGAATTAACAGAACATCTTACATGGTGGCAGGCAAGACAGAGCAACGAGCCAAGGAGGAAGAGTCCCGTATAAAACCACAAGCTCTTGTGAAAACTCTCACTATCATTAGAACAGCGTGGGATAAACTGCCCCCGTGTTCAATCACCTTTCACCAGGTCTCAACCTTGACACCCGGGGATTATAGGGATTATAATTTGAGATGAGATTTGGGTGGGGACACAGAGCCAAACCATATCAGCCTTGCTTTGCCACCTAGAATACAATGCAGTGGTGTGATCACAGCTCACTGAAGCCTCAACGACCTCAAACTCCTCTGCTCAAGTGATCCTCCTGTCCCACCTTCCTGACTAGTTGGGGCCACAGGTGCATGCCACTACAACTAGCTAATTTTTTTTGGGGGGGCGGGTAGAGACAGAGTCTAGCTATGTTGCTCAGGCTGGTCTCGAATGCCTGTGCTCAGGCAATCTTCCCACCTCAGCCTCCAAAAGTGATTGGGATTACAGAAGTGAGCCACCACCCTTGGCCTATTTTAGGTTCAGAATATAAAGCAATAAAATGCAATCAATAAGGAAAGGACAACCAGTTGGATTGATGGGTAGAGATATATATTTATATAAACCTGTAGTTCAAATATAATTTTGTTACATTTAATTTTAGAAAACTATGTATATAAAATATATATATATATCCACCACCACCCCATACACACATATATATATACACAAAAAAATCCCCCAAAAGTTATTCTCAGTTAATTATTGTTCTAATGCATGATTTTATTAACTTTATATAGCATTTTCTTTTATAAATGTGAATTTTAAATCTAATGCCTTCTTACCAGATATTATGCAATTTGCCATTTTTGTGTATTATAATTACTAAAAAATATGCTTATATACAAAGCTCTCTAAATATTTCTAATTTTTTACTGATGATAATATTCTTGAAGAAATTACCCCTGAATTTTACATGAGCTATTGCTTTTATATTCATAAGACTTTCACAACAAAAATCATTTATACAAATTTAGAACTCTTTCATCATTGTTTGTTTGTTTGTTTATTTATTTAATGAGACAGAGTTTCACTCTTGTCGCCCAGGCAGTAGTACAGTGGCGCGATCTTGGCTCACTACAACCTCCACTTCCAAGGTTCAAGCAATTCTCCTGCATCAGCCTCCTGAGTTGTTGGAATTACAGGAGTGCACCACCACACCCAGCAAATTTTGTATTTTTAGTAGAAATGGGGTTTCATCATGTTGGCCAGGCTTGTCTTGAACTCCTGACCTCAGGTGATCTGCCCGCCTTGACCTCCCAAAGTGCTGGGATTACAGGCATGAGCCACCACGCCTGGCCATCATTGTTTCTTAAGGTCAAAAATGACCTTTTGTTGCCTAATACAACAGACATTTTCCCCTCTTATCTAAATTTGAATTCTTAGAGCATTGCAAGCAATTAACTGTTGAAACATGGTCTTCCAGTTTTAATGATATTTTATGAGTGTACTTTTCTCAGACAATAAAGGTGATT
Organism: Homo sapiens; assembly: GCF_000001405.40. Taxonomy (NCBI): domain Eukaryota; kingdom Metazoa; phylum Chordata; class Mammalia; order Primates; family Hominidae; genus Homo; species Homo sapiens. The sequence goes on along the minus strand of NC_000013.11, from coordinate 84,418,907 downwards.
ATTTGTTCATCTATTTTCTAACTCCTCTCCACCCTACTTGATGTCTAACTATCAAAATGCCTCAGGGCTCTCACTATACCTCTTCCCATCCCCATGTATATGGTATAGATATATGCTCATGATTACTAAAAGCACTTCCAGAGCCATTCTGTTAATTCCGAATTCATCTATAAGCTTTGCTTGATTCAACTACTTTGATGTCTTTGAGCTGTTTCAAATTTAATATGTCTGTTATGAACTGAATGTTTACTTTCTAAACTTCATATGTTGAAGCCCTACCTCCCAGTATAACAGCATTCGGATGTGGGGCTTTTGGGAGGTAATTAGAATTATACGAGGACATGAGGCTAGTACTTTCATAATGAGATTAATGCTCTTACAAGAAAAGACCAGAGAGTGTGTGCTCTCTCTCTCCGTCACTCATACTATATATATGAAGAAGAGTTCATGTGTGCTCACAGAGAGATGGTAGTCACATATGAGCTGTGAAGCTGGTTTACAGTGTAGTGACTGCCAACTTCTTTCAGTCCAGTGGGACAAAAGATTCATGCACAAAACATGTTACATGAAGTGGTTTATTATTTACAGATAGGCAGCAAAGGAAAATGAGAATTCATTTTGAGCTAGTTCCTCAAGACTCAGCAAGCTTCCTGGGGTGGATAAAGTCTTGCCTGCACATGTCCTACGTGCACCATAGCTGAGGGAGTCTAGGGAGTAGCATGCCCTGGGGTTTATACATCAGGTGTCACAGAAAATGCTGGGCAAATGTGCTGTTCCGGCCATTCTCTTTCCTATATCAGGAAATTAAGTTCCAAGCGTATTCTATAGTTATTCTTTAGAACAACAAATTAGAAAGTGGAGGAGAACTGGGTTGGTTCAATGCCACCCAGAGGATTGTCGTGAAAAAGCCAAGAGAAGAGGCCTGATGATAAAACCTACATTGTGGTTTGATCTTAGACATCTCAGTCTCCAGAATGGTTAGAAATAATTTTCTGTTGTTTAAGCCACCCAGTCTATGATATTTTGTGTTATGGTCGTCTAAGCTAGGTAAAACAATCTCTAAAATAATGTTCTTGATTTTTACTTCAGAGTGGTTCACCAGTATATTCTTAGTAAAGAGCAATAAAATCTACCCAGATACCAAAGTCAAGAATAACAGTCATGGTTTCCTCCACCCTCTGACCACTCACAACCAATTCAGCAGAAAACCTTGTCCTTTCTGACTCTGCAATATACTGATTCATTCTCCTTCTCTCCATCTCTGCTGATACCACTCTTGTCCAAGTCACAATTAATTCTTGGACTGTTGCCATGGACTTTTAACTGCTTTCTCCAGTGACTTTCCAATACATTCTTTACTGTGGAGTGATTTTTTTAAATGTAATTTACGTCATGTTGGTCACACCCTTTAAATCTTGTAATAGCTTTCCATTAGATTTTGAATACAATCTAAACTCCTTAACATGGCCTGGTGATCCAGGTCCAGCTTCTCTCTCCAACTTCATCTCTGAATACTTGCCCTTCCTCACTCAGCTCCAGTTACAACATTCTTTATATGTTTCTAGAACACGCTAGTCCATCTAAAGCACCAATGTCTTGCCCTGGCTACTCACTTCCTTTACCTGGAGTAGTCTTCTAGACTTTTGCCTATTCTTTTCTTTACTTTTGGAGATATAAACGTAAATAATCCTATGATGGCAAATATTTTCTGTGACCCCCTAGTGGAACCTTGCTTCCTTATCAATATAATTGGCCATTGCTTCATCTAGTTTTTTATTTGTTTTGAATATTCTCTTTTAATTTATACAATTTTTTGTTTCTCTAATTAGAGCATAAGGATAAGAGAGTAGAGCTTGTGTTTACCTTGCTCTTCTCTGTGAATGGGAATTTACTATTTATTATGGTGTCTGGCCAAGAGCATTGGCTTAAATTATTACATACAATAACTACGTGAGGGAATTTTTGTAGACCTTAACCAACAGTGAGTATTCACAAAAGACTTCTATTATAAAATCCATATATACAGAAATTTAAAAAAATCCCTAGACAAAGTGAAAATTAAAACAAAACTTACCGAAATATATGAGGCACAGCAAAAGTGATTCTAGGAAGGAAGTTTACAGCAATAACCACCCACATTAAAATGAATAAATATATCAAATAAATAATCAAACTCTATACATCAAGGAACTAGAAAAAGAAGAAACTAGGACCAAGTCAGCAGAAGAGAAATACTAAAGATTACAGCAGAAATAAATAAATAATAGGACAACAGAAAAATGAGCAAAATTACTGTTTTTTTAAAAAAAAAAGACAAATTCTTTAATAAAGAAAGAAGACAAAAGGAAATAAAAACAGAAATGAAAGACAATACGTTACAACAGATGTCTCAGATATAATAAGGACCAGAAGGACCTATTAGGAACAATTATATCTCAAAAAAGTTGACAAAATAGAATGGATGGATAAATTTCTAGAAACGTACAATATACTAAAACTGAATGAAGAATAAATTGAAGGCCTGAACAAAGCAAATAAGAGACGATGAAATGATTAAGCAAAAATCTCCAAATAAAGAAAACTTCAAGACTCAATGGCTAGATGGGTAAATTCTATCTAACATTCAAAGAATAATTGATACTAATTCTTCTTAAACACTCCCCCAAAACAGCAAAGGGAACACATTCAAACTCATTTTGTGAGGTCATTAGTACCCATCCCAAAGCTAGAGAAAGACTCCACAAGAAAGGAAAGCAGACCATTATGAATAACTAACATTCATACAAATATCCACAACATAATGCTAGCAAACCAAATGCAACAGCACATTAAAGGGATTATACACCATGACCAAGTGGGATTTATTTCTAGGATGCAGAAAGGTTCCGCATACACAAATCAGTCAATCTAATGGGCCACATTAACATAATGAAACATAAAAATGACATTATTATCTTAGTAGATTTATAAAAGGCATTTGACAAAATTCTATGTATATTCACCAAACTCTCAACAAAATAGGTATAGAAGGAACTTATTTCAATGCAATAAAGACCATATATGAAAAGCCCAGTGTTAAAATCATAAACAACTTTGGGAAAAATTGAGAGCTTTTCTTCTGCAATCTTGTACAAGGCAAGAATATACATTCTCACCACTTCTATTGCAGATAGTACTGTAAGTCTTAGCCAGAGAAAGACAGAAAAAAAATACATAAAAGGCACCCAAATTGGAAAGGAAGAATTAAAATTATCTCTCTCAGATGACATGAGTATATATGTAGGAAAATCCTAAATAGTCAACAACAATTAATGTTAGAACTAATAAAAAAATCCAGTTAAGTTGCAGCATACAAATTAAACATACAAAATTTAGCTATGTTTCTATACACAAACAATGAGCTATCAAAATATACCACGGACAATAGCAACAAAAATAACAAAATACTTAGAAATCAGCTTAACCAAAGAGGTGAAATATTTATACACTGAAAATTATAATACATTGTTGAAGGAAACTAAAGAAGACTCACATAAATGGAAAGACATCCTCTGTAAATGGTTTAGAAGAGAATTAATACTTTAAAAATGTTTTAGTATGCATACTGATCTACAGATTTAATGCAATTCCGATCAGAATTCCAATAACATTATTTCCAGAAATAGAAAAACATCTAAAAAAACAAGACCCCAAATACCCGAAGTAACCTTGAACAAAACAAAGCTGGAGACACCACACATCCTTATTTCAAAATACAATACAAAACTACAATAATCAGAATAAGGGAGGAGACCACCCCTCATATTGTCTTATGCCCAATTTCTGCTTCCAAAGAAAGAAGAAGTAAAAACTAAAAGGCAAAAATGAAATCCACAGGCAGACAGCCCGGCGCCACGCCCTGGGCCTGGTTAAAGATCGACCCCTGACCTAACCGGTTATGTTATCCATATATTCCAGACATTGCATGGAAAAGCACTGTGAAAATCTCTGTCCTGTTCTGTTCCATTCTGATTACTGGTGCGTGCAGCCCCCGGTCACATACCCCCTGCTTGCTCAATCAATCATGATTCTCTCACACGGACCCCCTTAGAATTGTAAGCCCTTAAAAGGGACAAGAATTGCTCACTCGGGAGCTCGCTTGTTGGAGACATGAGTCTTGCCGAAGCTCCCGGCCAAATAAAGCCCTTCCTTCTTTAACTCAGTGTCTAAGGGGTTTTGTCTGCAGCTTGTCCTGCTACAAAAACAGTAAAATACTGGCAAAAAATGGACATCTAGGTCAATGGAACATAACAGAGTCCAGAAATAAATCCATATATTTATAGTCAACTATCTCTTGTAAAGGGTGCTAAACACACAAAGGGAAAAGGATAGTCTCTTAAATAAAAGGTCCTGGGAAAACTGGATATTCACATGCAAAATAATGAAACTGGACCCTTATCTCACACCATATAAGAAAATCAATTCAAGGTGAATTAAAGACTTAAGTGTAAGACCTTAATTCATAAAACTGCTAAAAGAGGGCTGGGCATGGTGGCTCATGCCTGTAATCCCAGCACTTCAAGGGGGGAAGGCTGATGGATCACTTGAGCCCAGGAGATTGAGACCAGCCTGGGAAACGGGTGAAACCCCGTCTCTACCAAAAATACAAAAAATTAGCCACACATGGTGGTGCACACCTGTAGTCCCAACTAGGAGGCTGAGGCAGGAGGATCATTTGAACCATGAAGGTCAAGGCTGCAATAAGCCAAGATCTCCCCATTGTCCTCTAGCCTGGGAAACACAGTGTGACTCTGCCTCAGAGAAAACAAAAGAAAGAAAACATAGGAAAATGCATCTTGACATTAGTCTCGGTATTTATTTTTGAATATGAGGCCAAAAGTACAGGCAACAAAAGCAAAAATAGACAAGGGGGATTGATTCAAATAAAAACTTTTTACAAAGCAAATAAAACAATCAACAGAGTAAAAAGGCAACTCATGGAATGGGAGAAAATGTTTGTAAACTATATATCTGATAGGGGTTAATATCCCAAATATATAAGTAACACAAAGAATTCAATAGCAAATAAAGCAATAACCTGATTAAAAATTGATCTAAGGATCTGGATAGATATTTCTTAAAAGAAGACACACAATCGTCAACAGGTTTTTGAAGAAGTGCTCAACATCACTAATCATCAGGGAAATGTAAATCTAAACTACAATGAGATATCGCCTCACACCTTTTAAAATGGCTATTATTAAAAGGCAAAGTAAGTGTTGGTGGGTGAGAATGGGGAGAAGAGGGAACCCTTTCACACTCTTGGTAGGAAAGAAAATCGATACAGCCATTATAAAAAATAATATGAAGTTTCCTAAAAAATTTTAAAATAGAACTACCATATGATCCAGCAACCACACTTCCGGATGAATATACAAAATAAAATAATTCATCATCTCTGAGATATTTGTGCACCCTCATGTTTATTACAGCATTAGTCTAAATATCTAAGACATGGAAACAGGTAAATGTCCATCAATGGATGAGTAGACAAATAAAGTGTGGTCTATATGCATATTCAATGGAATGTTAATCAGAGTTTAATAAAAGAAAATCCTGCCATTTGTGACTGAATAGATGAAACTGGAGGACATTAGTCAAAACCAAATAATCCAGACACAGAAAAGCAAATACCGCATGACTGCAATTATGTGTGGAATCTAAAATAGTTGAACTCATAAAAGCACACAGTAGAATGGTGATTGCCAGCAGATAATGATTGGGGGAACCGGGGACATGTTAGTCAAAGGTACAAATTTCTGTTATTCAAGATGAATAAATTCTGGAGATCTAATGTACAGGATGATGACTACAGCTAATAATGTTGTATTGTATACTGGAATTTTGATAAGTGAGTAGATCTTAACTGTTCTCATCACACACCAAAAACAATGGTAACTTTGTGAGGTGATGGATATATTAACCAGCTTAATGATGGAGATCATTTCATAATGCATACATGTATCTAACATAAAGTTGTACATCTTAAATACATTTTTTATTTGCCAATACCCCAAAAAAGTTGAAAAAAATAATATTTGTTAATGACAATCCCTATAATTTGGATGAGAAAAATAAAAGTGGCATTTTTATTTTTATTCCAATTGCACTTAAATGTTTTATTTACAAATTGATCATTGATATCTCTCAGTTGCTCAGAGGTCTATATATTTTTTAAGGCTCTGTTAGTTATTTTTATTTTTATGCTGATAGGAAGTCTCATGATATTAATCTAATAATATAATAGTGTACATATAATGAACATTATGCTGAAATTTTCCATGTATATTTTACTATTCCTTCAAAACAAGTCACTGAATTTGATATTATGATTTTCCTCATTTTGTAGATGAGCAAACTGGAAACTAAGACAGGTTAAACCCCATGCCCAAGGTTACATAGCTAGTTTATAGACATACTTTACACTTAGATAGCTGCCTCTCAGAAAAGTCTACTAAACTCACTGCCTATAAAATGCATCAACACAATCTAAATATTATGTGCTAGAAACCACTAGTGCTGGTGTTATCAATATGCAAGCTCTCCTGTTCCTGCAAAAGCTACTATAGGTATTTTCCACCTCTCTTGAAGCTATTTGGAACATGAAGCTGTTTTCCAAATATGAATTGTGACGGAAAACAATGTCAATTAATTTGAAGAGGTTGTTAAGAAAATTTTCTATCCAATTGTTATCTATACCTGTAGGCTAAAAACTGAGGCAAAAGAAGGCTTATGAAACCACAAGGTTGAAGGATAATGGGTTCATGAATATCTGCATTCAATGGAGGCACCCCACACACACCTACTTTGAGCAGACACCACCCACACACCTACTTTGAGCAGAGAATGGAATAAATTTGGTACTAAGCCACAATGTTTCTGTGTTTATTTTAGAAGCTAAACCACCTAATTAAAAGTTGACATGTTGTAGTTTCTCCTCTGTTTTCAGGGCACACTTAACATTTTGTTCAACAGTGTTTGAAGGATAAAAATGATTCCTGCCTACGTGAAAAAAATCGTTCCATCATCATTTCCTCTGTTTTATGCTTTGAAATAAAAATTCTTCCCAACAGCAATAGTCATTTTCCTCATCTTTCTCAAGATATAACTTTTACTTTTAGGTCTTTAAATAATTCAATATTAAGGTATGAATTACTTTAAGATAAATCAACTTTTAAAAGAAAATTCAACAATGTTTTTCTTTAGACCATTTATTGAATCTTTATTTCAATAACCTTGGATTTGAATGTCACTTTTATGAAAACAAAATTATTGAAAAGTTTAGCCTTGTCTTTGTATTCTAGTCTATTGAGCTGTCTATAAATTCTTGCATCAATGTTATGCTATTTTATTTAACATATTTCTAATATACATTTTATTATTTATTTTTTAAATGCTGACAGTCTCATTCACTTATTTTTCTATACAAAGCTTAAATCTGTTTCTGAATATTTACAAAAACTCTCGGTTTAGAAATTTTAATTAAATTCTCAGTTAATTTAGAAAACAAAACAACCACAACAAAAACCTCTGTGTTGCAGATGTGATATAAGTCACATCTTTTTTCATTTGTTCAAATGTTTTATTACCATAAAAATTTTATATTTACTTATTATTAATATTGCTTTTGTGTTTCCAAATTCTCTATTTATTTCCTTGGATTTTTCCAGTAAAGAAATATGGCAATTGGAAGTACAATGTCTCCTTTTCTAGAGGTAGTTCATCTTGTAATACTTGTATTTGTGGTATATTTATGGTAATAATTCTTGCTGTGTCTCATAAATAATTGTTTCAGTATGGAAATAACAGCGTATAATCATTTCCTCTCCAAGCTTCATAGGTGGTTCTCCATTTTTTCTTTACTTAATTTTTTTTTCTTTTTTTGAGATGGAGTTTCTCTCTTGTTGCCCAGGCTGGAGTTGCAGTGGTACAATCTCGGCTCACTGCAACCTCTGTCTTCTTCTCTCAAGCAATTATCCTGTCTCAGCCTCCTGAGTAGCTGGGATTAGAGGCGCCTGCCACCATGCTCGGCTAATTTTTGCATTTTTAGTAGAGACGAGGTTTCACCATTTTGGCCAGGCTGGTCTCGAACTTCTGACCTCGTGATCAACCCGCCTTGGCCTCCCAAAGTGCTGGGATTATAGGCGTGAGCCACTGTGCCCTGCCTACTTAAATTTTTAAAGCTGATTTTGCAGAACAAAATATTTTCAGCATATATAGGTATTTTTTTCCTACCTGGCAAAACAGAATTTTTCCCTCATCTTTAAAATTCAAAATTTTTGACAAAATATGTTTAGTCATGTTGCTATTTTTTTCTGCAGTACTTGGTAAGCTTTTACAATTGTGCCAACTCAAAATTCTTCAGCTCAAGAATGCTAGACTTTTTTTTTCAATATATCTTGGATCATTGTTTATTTTCTTTTCTTCTGCTTTCTAATTTTGATTGTTTTTCAAAAGAATACTAATCTCATGCATATATATATTTTTTCAGAACTTAAATTTAATTTTTTAAATTTTTAAATTTTTAAATTTCATAGGTTTTGGGGGGAACAGGTGGTATTAGCTTACATGAGTAAGTTCTTTAGTGGTGATTTGTGAGATTTTGGTGCACCCATCTCTTGAGCAGTATACACTGAGCCCAATTTGTAGTCTTTTATCCCTCACTCCCTTCCCACCCTTTCCTTCTGAGTCCCCAGAGTCCATTGTGTCATTCTTATGCCTCTTCATCCTCATAGCTTAGCTCCCACTTATGAGTGAGAACATATGATGTTTGGTTTTCCATTCTTGAGTTACTTCACTTAGAATAATACTCTCCAATCACATCCAGGTTGCTGCAAATGCCATTAATTCATTCATTTTTATGGCTGAGTAGTATTCCATTGTGTGTGTATGTATATATATATATATATATATATATATATATATATATATATATATATAGTATATTGTGTGTATATATATATTCCATTGTGTGTATATATGTATACACACACATGCAATAGTACATAGTATTCCATTGTGTGTGTATCTATCTATTTATCTATCTATTTATGTCTCACAGTTTCTTTATCCATTCATTGATTGATGGGAATTTCGGTTGGTTTCACATTTTTGCAATTGTGAATTGTGCTGCTATAAACATCTGTGAGCAAGTATCTTTTTCGTATAATGACTTCTTTTCCTCTGGGTAGATATTCAGTAGTGGAATTGCTGGATCAAATGGCAGTTCTACCTTTAGTTCTTTAAGGAATCTCCACACTGTTTTCCATAGTAGTTGTACTAGTTTACATTCCCATCAGCAGTGTGATCACTTACACATTTTTTGTTTTCTTTTTTTGTGCATATCTTTAAGTTTCATGGAACGTTTTCATTTTCCCTCTTTTGATTTTGATTTTGAAACATCTAAATCAATAACTCAATTCTGATTTTTAACTTAGTATTGATATTTTTCATTTTATGTACTCTATCCTGCATTCATATACTATATGGTTTATGACTGTCTAATTTTATATGAGATCATTGAAACTTAAATATTAATGTAAATATATTGTTTGTTGGTGCAACTGTTTAGGTTCTTAAAAAGTCTGATTTTTGAGAATCTCATTTTAAAAAATTGGTTGTATTGCTGCATATCTGTTGCTTTTACTGTATTTATTTTCACAAAAGGAAATGTAATTTTCCTTTGTAACAATATTTAATTAGATTTAAATCATTCATGTGGGTTTTTTTATTCAAAATTTCTACATCATATAGATGCTATTAAATTTTGATTGTAACAGATTTTTTCTATTTAAAAATTTCATAACTTTTGGGAAACTGGTAAAATACAGAGATGTAAGTAGTGACATTATTAAATCAGTCTTGTGTTTTGGAGTTTAAGTCCCATTTATATGTTTACAACAGATTGTGTTTAGATTTCTGCTCTCCCATCTCATTTAGTTTCATGATGTGAAGCTGCCCCGAGAAGGGAGTTTTCAGGGACCAAATAAATAGACAATGAATTATAGCCCTTTAGAATTCAAAAACAAATTCTAGATAAAAGTATATTTTGAAAGTGTAATTGATCAGACATTTTATCCTCCTATCACCCATATCCTGTCCTTGACAGACTAAATAATGTCAGAGATATACAATATATATTAGAAAATAAAGAAAGATTTAGAAGGACTTTTGCCAAGTAGCTCTTCTCCTCGCTCACTAATTTAATGACAGGTTTAGTTCTTAAGCAGTGTGATAGTTTCCAATAACCATTTGAGAACCCCAAAATACATTAGGCTGTTCCTCCTTTTCTCTCAGAAAAGCTGAGAGGGAATTTACCCAGCATCACGGTGGCTTCGCCAAGTAACTAAATTTCCTGGAGAAAATGAAGAAGACACAGAATTGCACTGAGGAAAGAAACAATTATTCTATAGCAATTACAAATTTGTGATGAGGGGACTCTGTAGCATAAAAAGGCCTAGGTCTAAGATAGCAATATGATATACCAGCCCAACTCAGGTGCTTTCAAGTATGATGAGGGCACTATTAGTAATTAAGGTGGCTCAACTGGCATATACTATTCTAATAAAACCAAGATATATGGTTACCATACCGAGACTCCCTAGAAATAGAGACCTAGAGGGAAAACAGAGAATATTTTTATTTTCAATGAGGCAGATTGCCATATCTGTAAGTAAAATGCAATATTTAATAGAACAACTCCTGGAGTCATAGTTGGATATATGATAGAGACTTGAGTCTTTTGCTACTCAAAGTAAGGTCTTGCCCACCTGCATCAGTGGCTTCTTCACTTCTAAGAAATGAGAACTCTCAAGTTCCATTCCAATCCATTTAATCAGAATTTGCTCTGTAATAATCTGGGGTGATTTAAATACACTCTATTGTTTCAGAGGCACTGGTCAAGACACTATCTCCTTTCTCAATGCCTTAATGTAAACTCTTGCCCCTTATCTTTAACCAGAGGAAGATAACAGAAAGAGCGCAAGTCTCACTCCAAACTGATTGAGTTTACTCAAAGAGGAGAAATTAATCCAGCCTAAATGAAGTCTTAAAATAGTAATTAGGTTAACTCGCAGAAAAATAAATTGGTTTAATTATCTCAGAAAGTTTTATCCTATATTCATAATTTTTGTTATAAGAGCTGACAATAAACTAAGACAATATTCCTACATTTCTATGGTATAATTCATTATCTTTGTTTCTAGCTCTTTGCCTTATATGTATAGTTGGATCAAATTTAGGCTAGGTAGAAGTGCTACCAGGAACACTTACATAGATCATGATAAATTCTATACCCTTGCTGTTGATCCTTGTTCCTTAGAGTTAGAACTGGACTAGTAAGGATATTTTGGAATGGGTATCTCCTATCAAGCAAGCTGTTTTTAATTACAGGGAATTATTGGTTCATTAGCTTTTTCCCTAACCCAGTAGTAGCTACACAATATCTAGAACAAATTTTTCGAAAGTTCTCCTGCATGGATTTCTCTGTTTCCCTCTGCTTCTGTTTTTGTTTGTTTGTTTGTTTGTTTGTTTTTTAACTCTGCTTCTTTTGACAATGCCAGGCCTCTTCCCCCTCCAGTTTTATTTGCATTTTTATATTCAGGTCAGACTTGAAAAGAAGGATAGTTAAATGGACTAATAATTCATCCTTATTAGCCAGAAGTTCCCTTCAATTTTTCTTGGGAAGATATTCAAATGAAACAGAAATACTAGTGACTTTTCATGTCTACTTCATCCATACAAAGAACATGAGGAAGACAGGAGCTCATAGAGGATAGATGCAGATTCTGTAAGGTGAAAGGGTACAGAGATATAATGAGCATGCCAAACATACTTTGTCTAAATCATACTTGTGTTGAGTTATCTCTCCTCTGGCCAACTTAGACTCTAGGAAACTTTTGTGATGATTTTTCCTCTGCATTTATTCATAGAGGCCTTGGTGAACTGCCATGGTGAATCTTAGTGAAACTGAACTTGGATACAACCAGCCACTAAGAACAGTTTTAGGAAAGGTGTCGCAGGTTTTTTCTGAGTCAAGAAATATATTTCCTATTAGAGATATTTTATAGTAATGTTAGGATATGTTTTGTTTCATCAGGGTACAAGGTGTTGTTCAAATACAAAAGGCTGACTTAAAATGAACCACATGCTATGTAATGTATTTTGATGCTACATTAGAAAGGCCTGGCTGGGGCGGGTGCGATGGCTCATGCCTGTAATCCCAGCACTTTGGGAGCCTAAGGCAGGCGGATCACAAGGTCGGGAGTTCGAGACCAGCCTGACCAACATGGTGAAACCCTGTCTCTACTAAAAATACAAAAATTAGCCAGGAGTGGTGGCAGGCTCCTGTAGTCCCAGCTAATCAGGAGGCTGAGGCAGGAGAATGGCGTGAACCAGGGAGGCGGAGGTTGCAGTGAGCCGAGATTGCACCACTGCACTCCAGCCTGGGTGACAGAATGAGACTCCGTCTCAAAAAAAAAAAAAAAAAAGAAAGGCCTGTCTGATGGTGTTGAGAAATCTAATATCACTGAAAGAGCATGCTTGCAGGTATTGTAAGTTTGGATATTAAGTGCTAAGAACACTTCAGTTTAATGAGTGAAGAAATTATCTTGTCACTAAGAGGATACTTTAAGCCAATAACTACGGAACAATATAGTTTTGAGTGAAAATGATTATTTCCCGTGAGAAACATAAAAACAGAACATTTAAGAATATAACTCACATTCGCCAGGCGTGGTGGCTCACGCCTGTATTCCCAGCACTTTGGGAGGCCGAGGCAGGTGGATCACAAGGTCAGGAGCTCGAGACCAGCCTGACCAACATGGTGAAACCCTGTCTCTACTAAAAATAAAAAAATTAGCCGGGCATGGTGGCGCACACCTGTAATCCCAGCTACTTAGGAGGCTGAGGCAGGAGAATCGCTTGAACCCAGGAGGCGGAGGTTGCAGTCAGCAGAGATCGCGCCACTACACTCTAGCCTGGGTGACAGAGTGAGACTCTGTCTCAAAAAAAAAAAAAAAAAGAACATAACCTACATTAGATCTTTTTTCAAATCACGCATGGATTTTTAAATATTTCTCCAAAGTAGTCGACAATTTACTTTTTATGAAGTTATAACACAGGTCATTAGATTAACCATCATTTCTGCCAACATGTTCATTCAACAAACAGGATCTAACTTTTTCATGTCTAACCTAGAGAAATTATGTGCTTTTTTGGAACTTTTTAAAATGAAAAATTAGTTAGGGGTTGCCTGAGGTTTAATTCCTTTGGATATAACAATTCATAGGGATGAAAACTGTACCTATGACTCACAAGAGTCTATGTTTCTAAGATTATAACTATTTCCTGTCATGTGCCATCTTGTGGGATGTAATATCAACAAAAGATATAAAAATCTGGGTATAAATGTAACTGCTAAAGGAGAGGGGGTGGTTACAAATTGGTTGTACTTTAGCAACTTGATGCTCAGCTTCAGCAAGGGCTACCTTTACAAGACAATTCTCACTGCTGTGCACCAAAGAGCAAGGAGCTGTATCTGGGGACCGCTGAAAAAATTTGCCAATACAAATATAAGTTCCTTTGCTTATATTATTAGGTAATACAAAATATTTTTGTTATAACAAGGGGTACTATTATTGGCATGTGACTTACTCACTTTTGAAATCTCAAAAGGCAGCAGGGATTTCAGAAGAGGTGTGGACCCACATGTAGAATGTTGTCTTAATATAGGTTCCTGGGTTTCTAGCTACCCAAGATATGACAATTTAATTCAATAGCGTTTTGTAGTCTGCTCAGGCTGCCATAACAAAATAACATAGACTGGATGGCTTAAACAATAAAAAAATAATTTTGTCACTGTTCTGGAAGCTAGAAGTTCAAAATTAAGGAGGCATCTGATTTGGTTTTGGTGAGGCTTCTCTTCCTGCTGTGGAGATGGCTGCCTTCTCACTGTGTCTTTATGTGACCTCTTTTCTGTGCATACACATAGAAATATCTCAGTACCTTCTTATTCATATATAGACACCAGTTTTTATAAATTTAGGGCCCTAAAATTATGGCCTCATTTAAACTTAAATGTATCTTTATAAACCCCATCTCTAATTACATTAGCATTGGGAGTTAGGACTTCAACATAAGAAGCTCTCAGTATCTTCTTATTCACATATAGACACCAGTTTTATAAATTTGGGGCCCCAAATTATGGCCTCATTTAAACTTAAATATATCTTTATACGCCTCATCTTTAAATACATTAACATTGGGAGTTAGGACTTCAACATAAGAAGCTTAGCAGGACACAGTTTAGTCCACAACAGAGACATATAGAATATTCCTTTCAGATGGTGAGAATGTAATTAATGGAGATATGAAGACATAAAAAGAAAGTAGTGTACATTGTTTATGCAAGTGGTAAGCTTCAGAGAAAGATAAAAGCCATGGAACACAAATTACCTGTATTAGACATAAAAATTAGACAAAGAAGTACACACAAGAGACTTTCAGACAGACTGCATGTACATTAATTGAGAGTACAAATAAAAGAGCCAGAATTGAGTTGGGTAAAAGTAATTGCATGAAGCAGAGGTTTCAGATGTTGAAAGAAATGAAGGTAGAGTTTAGAAGTGTCCTAAGTTTCACTTACCTAAATATCCCTGTAGAAATGGCTATAGAGATAACTTATTTTAAATATATTTTTGAAAGAGTTCTTAAAGTTGTTTTTAAAAAATGCCTATATCAGAGACTACATAAGACAAGGGTGAGCATTATGTAATCTAGAAACATCCCACTAAGGTTGGATGGCATTTCCATTAAATGGCTATCTAGTCTCAGGAAAATAATCTTTATTTTTGAGACTCAGTTTACTTATCTGTAGAATGAAGATAAATATGGTGTTTAGCTCAGAGAATTTCTGGAAACAAATGATTTAATACATCTAAAATGCTTAGAAAAATTCTTGACATCTAGAAACCTTCAAATGATTGAAAAGTATTAACTATTATATTGATTGCATGTGATTAGCTTTAATTGTAACTAATATTTAAAGCTAATATTCAAATAGTACTAAATGATATTTTATTAAAGGGAAGAGGAAAGAAAATATTGGTATTTTTTGTAGGGCTTTTAATTTTAGATCTTTTTTTTTTCACAATCTTACAAAAAGGTGACATTTGAACAGAAAGTGTAAGGAATAAGGAACAAGTCTATACATACCTAGAGGAAGAATATTCCAAGCAGAAGAAACAGTAGGTAGAAAAACTTGAGGGCAGCACGCTTTTGGTGAACTTGAGGAGTAGAATAAACCAGGCAGATGGTGGTGAAAGATAAGGTCTGGAAGATGAGCAAGATCGTGTTCAGTCTTTCAGTTCAGGACAGAAAGGTACAATTTTATTCTTATTGTGAATGGAAGCCATTGGAAGATTGGGGAAAGAACACAATACATTAAAAAAGATACTTTGAGCCATTGTGTGGAAGACATAGTGTGATGGGCAATCACTTTAGTAGGAAGGGCAGCTATTGAGTAAGCCAGAGAAAAATGATGAATTCGAGTGGAACAATAAAAGTAGTGATGAGTGTTTCCTATAGGTTAAAAAAAATGAATACTGAAGAGAAAAGAAAATCCCAAATTAACTCATTATTCAGAATTATTATGTTTTAAAATAAGAGAGTTTTGATTATCTTTATATTGCGTGTTCTTCTATGACATCACAGCTCTTAGAGTGGTTGGGATATTTCATGTGGGGAGGATTCATAGAAGATGAGAATTGTAAATAGCCATCCTATAATTTAAAATTCATTTTACGAAAATATTGAAACCAAACATGTTTGGGCAGGGTACCAATGTGGCTTCACCTGCTGTACATAAAATAGTGCTGAGAAGCCATAATAGAAAAATTGGTGAAATGCAAAAAAATCCCTTTGACCAAAGAACCATGGTAGGAAGAATAATTACCCTCCAAAGATATCTCTCTCTTAATCCCTGCAACCTTCTGTAAATATATGAAGCTACATGACACAGGGAATTAAGATAGTGAATAGAATTCAGATTCGCTAATACATTGGCATTAAATTGGTAGATGATCTTGGTTTACCCAGTTGGGCCCAATGTAATTTCATGTTCCGCAAATGTGGAAAAAGAAGGTAAAATACACTATGTTAGATTAATGTGATATGAGAAACTGTTGATGAGAGTAATGCAACTGGCCCTTGCTCGCTTTGAAGATGAAAGGGGGCCACAAACCAAGAATGGAAGGTGGTTGTCCATAAGCTGGCAAAACAAGAATTTGGATTATCCCCTAGAGCCTCCAGAAAGGTTAGTAACTCTGGTAATAATGTGATGTCGGCCTAGTGAGACCCATTTTGGACATGTGAACTATAAGTTAATAAATTTGTGTTGGTATAAGCCATTAAATTTGTGGTACTTTGTTTCCAAAGTAATGGAAAATATATACAATTAATAAAATATGTTTATATTAGGGGAAGCTGAGTGAAAGGTATATGAAAACTTTGTAATATCCTGTGACTTTTCTGCAAACCTGACATTATTCCAACAGAAAAGATTTGAAAAAAAAATTCTCTAAACATTTCAAGCTGAATCTTTCTAAAATTGACCATATAATCACTTCCCTAACCTCTGCTTTCTACATTAACTCTCCATTAGTTTTACTCTCATGCATTCAATTAAAACAAATCTGGAACTTCAATATCATCCTGGATGTATTCAATATCTCCTAAAGAACACATCCTAACATGATTATTCCACAAAGTAATGTATCAATTATTTTCCCCATTCTTACTCAACTTTGTGACTATTACTAGAGACCCCTAACCCATTTACTTGCTTTTAATACCTCTGCACATCTCTCTGAGTTCTCTTAATAGTGATAGTGTTGTCCCTTTAATACAAACAACTATTCATGATATTCCATAACAATCTATAATGATACTCTACTACCCACAGCAATATACCCTTTCAGAAGCTCATACTTTCTCTCCATTTTTTTCCCCTTTCTCTTTTCTATCCATAAGGCTCCAGGCACAGAGAACTTCTCTATTTTCTTTGAACGTGCTATACTATTGACACATAAATTTTAACATGTATTTTTTACATCTTTCTAACATATTTCACCACTTTTTCATTGTTTCATAAGTCATAATGATTATAATAATTACAATGAAAAATTGACCTCTCCATGATCTTTTATGGATTCCTTTTCTGTAACCTTACACAATAAGATCAGTTGAGTTACTCACAGGTAAGCAAATTGGTGCATAGTTCTATTGCAGCACACTTCACATTGCATTTGATTGTTGGAAGTGTATACTGTCCATCCATCTCTATATTCTTCAAAGCAGAGACCATGTCTTATTTGTCATTCTGTCTCCAGTAGCTACAAATAGACTCCATTATCAGCTGTGTGTAAGATTAAAAATTGTCCAGTAGGAGACAAATTAAAAACTTGTTACAAATGGAGTCTGTTTGTTGTTCTACACATATTACAGTTTCATCACTTTCATCAACTACTCTTTAGAATATGACTGCATGATTCCACAGTTTACTAATCTTAGACACAGCACCTGAAACTTAGAATAGATGTGTCTTTGTTATATTAATTCCTAGTATCCCCCAAGTCTCAGAGATATTTGAACTAAGGGCAAGAGTTCCAATGATGTGCCCAGCAACTTTCCCCTAGCTGGTATTCAAGACTTAAGTGGTATTTATCATCCTATCAGGACCCATCTGAACACATTGAAGCTAATGGGAGGCTCATTCAACTTAACAGGATACACGTTTGCTTAACAGAAGGCACATCAACTTAACACAATACATCTGTAACATATTTGACTTCCATACACCTTTTGATGCCTACCCTTTGTTAATTCCGACTGCAGAGGCTAATGCCCTTGTAGTGGTGTAGAACAGTAATGAGTCAAGTGAAAGCAATGGGAATTGAAAGGCAGGAAATGATTAAGTTGATGTTGGTGGTATAATTGAGGAGAAAACTGAATGTGAACAATGTGAGTAATGAGATTATTTGAGACTCCCAGCCTGAATGGATGAGAGGATATTACCATCATTGCCAAAGAATATTAGTCATCAATGTATCCAAATGTTATTTGACTCTGTCTTTTGTTGTACTCAAACTCTACTTTGTGCTACTATATTTTTAAAAACCCTGTGAGATACTAAAAACTGAATAAATACTATAAGATTTCTAATTTTCTTGTGAATTAGATGAGGTGTAATGAGGCAACAAATATATTGAAAACAACAATGCATGCAAGGAGAGAAAAGTTGGATTTAATTTTGCCTTTCAATTACCATCTGCATAATCTGAGGAAAGTACCTTTGCTGAGACTAATTTTTTTAGGTATATCTTTAAATACAACAAATTTATTGTTTTATGTAAGGACTAATGTGTATATAAATATCAAAATTATGAATTTATATATGCAATGTATATAGCAGATAGCCAAGATAAATGCGGACAGCGTGAGAGAGCTGCTGAGAGAGCTGCTGAATAAAGCCATATTTTATATATTAAAATAAACTCTAAATTCCATACTTTATACATTAAATATTCCATATATATATATTATATATTATATATTCCATACTTTATATATTAAAATAAACTCTAAATTCCAACAATCTATACAATATTTGGAATTACTGTTATTGAAGACATTTAAAAACTATTGTATATCTTCCTTTCTTCTTGCACTCAGAAGACTCTTAAAACTTGTTTACATATTGGTTTTCTTTGCCTTTTGACTCAAGCAGTTAAGAATTTTAATGCACAAAATATAAAATAGAAACTTTATTCACTGTTAGGCTCACGACTATGCCAAATGTCAGGTTCAGGGTCAGGCTGTAGCCCCAGCTGAGGTCTGAGGGGAGTGGGTGGATGGGCAGATAGCCGAAAGAACACTTGGGAGGCCGTAGGCAGGTGGAATATGGCTTTATTCAGCAGCTCTCTCATTAGCAACTCTCTAACACTGTCTGCATTTATCTTGGCTATCTGCTCTGGCTCTGTGGCTCCTCTCAGCAGCCAGTTCTGTGGCTCCTGCTGCCCCCACACTTGCAGCTGCACTCCCTGACCTGCAAGGCCAACTACAGGGTCAGCAGCTTAACTCTCCCTCTAGGCACAAGCCAGTTCCTGGCTCCCCCCTGCCCACCTTCAAGGCGACCAGCTCTACAGGGCTAAGCAGTGTTACTCTCTCTCTGGACACCAGTGAGAACTGAGCCTATACAGTGTCAGGGCAGTTACACTTTTCAAACAATAGTGCCTGAGAGCCAAGTATAAGTTTACACAAAACAGGTTATATAATAAGTGGAGTCTGCGCCTGCACCCTAAACTTGCTGAGTCATCCTGGCCTGGATATTTACCTCGACCTCTTCCTTGACCAAAGCACAACCGTGTAGCTTACATTCCACCCCCTAGGCTGAGGGAGACATAGGTTTTGGGCACACAGGCCCAATACACAAGTTTGGCACATAGGCTCTGGACACACATGTCCAACACATAAGCTTTGGGCACACAGGCTCAATACATACACATAGGCTTGACACATAAGCCTAACATATAGCCTTTGGGTGCACAGGTCTGATACATACACATAGGCTTAACACATAAGCCTGGCCTGATACATACACATAAGCCTGGCATGATACATACACACACACAGGCCAGATACATAGGTATAGGCTTGACACAGGCCTTATACATAGGTTCTGTGCACACAGGCCTGTGACATACATTAGCTTCAATAAAGTGTCCAGCAGTCAGTGCAGATTACCATATTGGTGCAGATTACCTCTTTGGTGATTACCATTTACACTGCCCTGAGTTTAGCTTATTAGCTCCTCTGTCTACACCTGGTTTCAAACCATATGGTGTCAGTATTAAGTTGAACGGCAACAGCAGTCCAGACAGCAGTAGCATTCTAGCTAGACCCATTTGTGTACCATGCCCCATTAGGAAAGGGGGGATGCTCTTCCTTAAATGGTGATGGCTCAGGCTCTAGGGGTGCCTCAGGCCTCATGGCATTAGGCCCCATGGCCTTATCTTGCATTAGGACTACAGGTCCCAAGCCCTCTTATAACTCTGCTGCTATGGGACTTGTACTCAGCATACTCCACTGTTCTAAATAGGCACCCCACTTTGCAAGGTGGATGTCTGTGCCTTTCCACTCTGGGGGGTCATTACTCACGAATGGCCCACCCCAGTATTGGGCACGTCAGCTGCAAGATGACTGTAACTCATCCTGTCACACTCTTGTAAGGCTGAAGGGCAGCATATGCAGTTACTAACTGCTTCTTTCTTAATAAACACAGGAGCTCAGCTCCCTTTCACAGTTGGGACTAAAAGCAGGCTATTCAGCAGGCACAAGCCCAGGGGTGCCCATTTAAACTAGATGTGCATGTGACCACAGATGGTTTTGGCTAGGGCCTATAGTGGTACATGGAGCGCTTGGAATTTCCAGGAGGCTTTTAGTCTCACAAGAGCATGGCCGGATGAGTTACAGTCATCTCCACTCCCAACCTCCACCCTCTGATAGGCCCCAATATCTGTGGTTCCTCTCTATGTATCCATGTGTTCCATTATTTAGCTCCCACTTATAAGTGAGAACATGTGGTATTTTGTTTTCTGTTTCTGTGTTAGTTTGCAAAAGGAGATGGCCTCCAGCTCCATTCACGTTTCTGCAAAGGACATAATCTTGTTCTTTTTTATGGCTGCATAGTATTCCATGGTGTATATGTACTGCATTTTCTTTATTCAGTCTATCATTGATGCTCATTTAGATTGATTCCATGTCTTTCCTCTTGTGAATAGTGTTTCAATGAACACACATGTTTATATTCCTTTCCATATATATGAAATAATGAGATTGCTGGGTCAAATGGTAGCTCTGTCTTTAGATCTTTGAGGAATCGCCCCACTCTCTTCCATGATGGCTAAATTCATTTACACTCCCACCAACAGTGTATAAGTGTTCCTTTTTCAGCTGTCTCAACTAACCCCATCTCTACTAAAAATACAAAAATTAGCCAGGCATGGTGGCAGGCTCCTGTAATCCCAGCTACTCAGGAGGCTGAGGAAGGAGAATTTCTTGAACCCAGGAGGTTAAGGCTGCAGTGAGCCGAGATCACACCACTGCACTCCAGCCTGGACGACAGAGGAAGACTCTGCCTTGAAAAAAAAAAGAAACAGTGTTCCCTTTTCTCCACAACTTCATCAGCATCTGTTATTTTTTGACTTTTTATTAATAGCCAATCTGGCTTTTCTAATATCCAGCATCTTTAAGGAACTTACACAAATTTACAAGAAAAATAACAACCCAATAAAAACAGTGAGCAAAGGACATGAACAGACACTTTTCAGAAGAAGACATGCATATGGCCAACAATCACATGAAGAAAAGCTCAACATCACTGATTATTACAGAAAAGTGAATCAAAACCACAATAAGATACCATCTCACAACAGTCAGTGTGGCTCTTACCTTATTTTTCCTAAAAAATATGGCTTTGTTATGCCTAATCTACCTTCTTTAGTGGTAGATATGTGAATATGTGGGGAAAGGGTAGATATGAAGTCTCAATTACACAATTTCCAGAAAAAAACTGCACTCATCAACTGCCTGTCTTCTCTGTTCAGATTTTTGTGCAATGAAAATGGTGGTCATTGCTCAGATTAAGAACTCCATCCTCCGTCTTAAAAGTCTGTCTTTGGATTTGACTCTTTAATATACAACTGTGACTGGATCTTGACTTTTTTATTTCTATTCTTATCTTCCCTCTATTTCTAATATAACTGAAAGTGGTGCATGGCTGACCATGTCTAGAAATAAACGATGTTCATAATGATAACAAATAACAACATCACTCTTCAAGCCAATTGCATTTAAGATATATCCATTTAGAGGCGTCCTATTTAAGGTTTAGATCATTTCACCAGCTGTTTTGAGGCAGAGTTCATAAATTTCTTTAAAATAAAATGGTTAAAATTATTTTAAAATGAAGCAGAGGAGAATTCCAAATCTGGACAATAGCCAATTCTAAAATAATAGAAAATTCACTCACTTTTTGCATTCCTATTTGTTTTATTAATTAGTATATAAAGTTTATATACATATACACATATATACACACATATATATACATATATACACATATATATACATATATACACATATATACATATATACATATATATGTATACATATATATATACATATATACATATACATATATATATACATATATATATATGGAAGAGGGGAACAAATAAATGACTTTGCTTCACAGTTTGACCATAAAGATGCTTAATGACCATATTCTAATAGGACTACAGTAACCTTAATGCCCACATTTAATCTAATATTACATAAGGTTAGTGAATAATATATAACGTGATTTATTTTGATTGTGAGGAAGCTAACTTGTAGTAGTACATGAGCCTTATATTTTTTGCATTTTTCTTCCTTTCTAAAATTATTTTATTGATAGATAATTATAGATTTGATATTTTGATACATGCATACAATATATAATTATCAAGTCATGGTATGTAGGATATCCATCTCTTCTAACACTGAACATTTTCTGCGTTGGGAACATTTCAGATTTTTTATTCTAACTATTTTGAAATATACAATCAATTTTTGTGACTATAGTCACTCTAATGTGATACCAAACACTGGAACCTACTCTTTCTACTTAACTATCTGTTTTCAATCAACCTCTTTTCATCCCCTACCTCCTTTTTCAGATTCTGATGATTATCTTTCTCCTTCATGAGATTAACTCTTTTAGCTCTTGCATATGAGTGAGACATTGCAGCATTTATTTTTCTGTGCCTGACTTATTTCACTTGATGACTTCCAGTTCCATCCATGTTGCTGCAAATGACAGAATCATTTTTATGGGTAAATAGTGTTTCATTGTGTAGATATACCATGTTTTTCATTTATTCATCCATGGATGGACATTTGCACTGCATCCATATTTTGGCTATTGTGAATAGTGCTGCAATAAACATAAGGGTATTGGTATCCCTTTGATATACTGAATCCTTTTTTTTTTTTTTTTTTCAGATAAGTACTTCATAGTGACATTGCTGAATTGTATGGTAGTTCTATTTTTTTGTGTCCTTTGGATGATAGATATTTTAATTGGGGTGAGACGGTATCTCATTTTGGTTTTGATTTGTATTTACCTGATGATTAGTGCTATTGACCATTTTTAAATATACCTCTTGGTAATCTGTATGTCATCTTTTGAGAAATCTATTCAGACCATTTGCCCACTTTCTAATAGAATCACTTGAATTTCTATTGTTGCTGAGTTGTATGAGTTCTTTGTATATTCTGGATATTAGTTTCTTGTCAGACAAATGAGTAGTTTGCAAATATTTTTTCACATTCAACAGGTTGTCTCTTCACTTTGTTGATTGTTTTCTATGTTGTGCAGAAATGTTTTAGTTTACTATTGTCTCGTTTGTATATTCCTATTTTTGTTGCCTGTGCTTTTGAAGACTTAGCCATAAAATCTTTACCTTGTCCTGAAGTGTTTTCCTTATCTTTTCTTCTAGTAGAAGGTCTAGGTCTCTTGTTTAATTTTTTTATCCATTTTGAGCTGATTTTCATATATTGGGAGAGGTGACTAGTTTCACTCTTCTGCATATGGATATCTAATTTTCCCAGCACTATTTTTGAAGAGGATGTCCTTTGAGCAATGTATGTTCTTGACAGATTTGTTAAAAATTATTTGGCTATAAATACATGGATTTAGGAATTGAGGGGAAAAATGGCAGATAAAAGGCAGGACTAATTTGCAGCTCCCACTTGGTTGGAAAAAATGGCATGTAGAGACACATTATGAACTTTTGCTCCAAGAACTACCACAGAAACATACCAAGAAAAAGAAAAGAATTCACAGAGCCTTTGAAAGAACGGTTTGCCACTGCAAACTCGGTGAGATAGCCAATAATCTGTGAGCGCCCAAAGTGTGAGAGGAGGCATGTCCTCCTCTGAACATACATCCTCACTGAGGAACCTGAAAATCCATGTCACAGAAAAGGAGTTAACCTTACTTAGAGCTGAAATGAATTTAGAGGGCTGAGCAAAATATAAAAGTAAAAGAAGCAGCAAAAAGAGCCTCATAGGCACTTCCAGTCCCCAAGGAAACTATTTTATCTCATAGTGGTCCTTGGGGAGGGCTGCCATCAGAATTGGGAAAAGACCGCAGGGAGAAAGAAACTTCCAGCTGAGATTTGCAATAATTTTGATCAAGCACAAATTTTCCTGGGCAGAATCTGGGGGTAAGGGGAGGCAAACGAGAGGTGCAGATATGAGCACAGAAGCTGAGGCAGGTGAGGAGGGGCAAGGCCTGAAAGCCTTGCTTACTTTCTCATCAGGGAAGCTTGTAGCCTGAGGCAAGATCTCAGCCCAGCTCACAGTCTTCCTGAATATAAATTTGGTGCTGTTGGTGGGGCGTGGTGGGAGTGAGACTGGCCTTGGTGGCTGTGTGGGAGTTGGGTGAAGCCTGTCACTGCCAGCTTTTCCTCACTTCCCTGGCACCCTGTATGACACAGAAGCAGCATCCATAACCCCCCTGGGAACATAACTCCATTGGCCTGAGAACCTCACCTTCATCCTGCACAGCAGCCACAACAAGTCTTGCCCAAGAAGAGTCTGAGCTCAGACATGCATAATCTTGTCCCTGCCTGCTGGTCTTTCTTTACCCATCTTGGTAGCCAAAGAAAAAACACTTAATCTCTTGGGAGCTCTGTGGCCCCAACCATCACCTGAGAAAACCGAATACTTATCCAAGTGACCTTAGGGTAAGCTTGTATCACCCCTATACTACCACAACTGATACTCTCTTTAAAGCACCACCTCCTGGCTGGAGGCCAACCAACTTAAGCCATTACAGCAACTCATAAGAGAACAACCCTGCTTCAAGAAAGGAGAAAATACCAGCTAATTCCGCCACCTGTGACATCCTGGCTAACCAGAGGTTCTGAGTCTGTTCACATGACAACTTTACTGCTAGTACAATTAGCATTCAAGAAAACCAGTACGCTAAACAAAACTACAACCAAAGACCCTCACAGAGTCCACTTCAATCCCCTGCCACCTTCACCAGAATAGGTGCTGGTATCCCTGGCTGAGAGACCTGAAGACAGATTCACAACACAGGACTCTTTGCAGACACTCCCCAGTACTAGCCCAGAGCCTGCTAGCTCTGCTGGGTGGCTAGACTGGAGAGCAATAAGAATCACTGCAGTCTAGCTCTCAGGAAGCCCCCATCCCTATGGGTAGGGAGAGAGCACCACATTAAGCGGGTATCCCATGAGACAATCTGAACAGCAGCCATTGAACCCCAGATCTTCCCTCTGACATAATCTATCCAATTGAGAAGAAACTAGAAAAACAATTCTGGTGATATGAGAAAACAAGATTATTTAACACCCCCAAGATCACAATAGTTCACCAGCAATAGATCCAAACCAAGAGGAAATCTCTGAATTGCCAGAAAAAGAATTCAGAAGGTCAATTATTAAGCTACTCAAAGAGGCACCAGAGAAAGGTGAAAAACAACTTAAATAAATTAAAAAAAACAAAAAAAAACAGGATATGGACAAAAAATCTCCAGAGAAACAATCACAACTTCTGGAAATGAAAGACACACTTAGAGAAATGCAAAGTACACTGGAAAGTTTCAACAATACAATCAGACAAGTAGAAGAAAGAACTTCAGAGCTCAAAGACAAGGCTTTTAAATTAACCCAATCCAACAAAGACAAAGGAAAAAGAATTTAAAAAATGAAAAAAGCCTCCAAGAAGTTTGGAATTATGTTAAATGACCAAACCCAAAAACAATTAGTGTTCTTGGGGTAGAAGATAAATCTAAAAGTTTGGAAAACTTATTGTATAAAATAATCAAAGAACATTTCCATGCCTTGCTAGAGAACTAGACATTCAAACATAAGAAGCACAAAGAACACCCAGGGAATTTAACCACAAAAGGATCATCACCTAGGCAGGTAGTCATCATGTTATCTAAAGGCAAGATGAAGGAAAGAACCTTAAGAGCTATGAGGCTCTTAAACTGTGAGCTTAAGAGCTGTGAGCTGTGAGGCAAAAGCATCAGGTAACCTATAAAGGAAAACCTATCAGATTAACAGCAGATTTCTCAAACCCTACAAGCTAGAAGAGATTGGAGTCCTATCTTTAGCTTCCTTAAACAAAACAATTATTAGCCAAGAATTTCGTATGTAGCAAAACTAAGTTTCATAAATAAAGGAAAGATACAATCTTTTTCAGACAAATTAATGCTGAGAGAATTTACCACTACCAAGACAGCACTATAAAAACTGCTAAAAAGAGTTTCAAATCTTAAAATAAAACCTCAAAATACACCAAAATAGAACCCCCTTAAAGCATAAATCTCACAGGGCCTATAAAACAATAACACAACAAATAAAACAAAAACACATACAAGGTATTCAGGCAACAACTAACATGATAAATAGAATTACTAGTAGCTCACATCTCAATACTAATGTTGAATGTAAATGGCCGGAATACTACACTTAAAAGATACAGAATGTCAGAAAGGATAAGAATTCGCCAACCCTGTATCTGGTGTCTTTAAGTGACTCATCTAACACATAAGAACTCACAATAACTTAAGATAAAGGGGTGAAAAAGGTATTCCATGCAAATGGACACCAAAAGCCAGCAGGATTAGCTATTTAGATATCAGACAAAATGGACTTTTAAGCAACAACAGTTACAAAAGACAAAGAGGAACATTATATAATGATAAGAGGACTACACAAACAGGAAAATATCAAAATTCTAAATATATATGCACCTACTGGAGCTCCCAAATTTATAAAGCTAATGCTACTAGACCTAAGAAATGAGACAGACAGCAACACAATAATATTAGGGGACTTCAATACTCCACTGTCAACACTAGACAGATCAAGACAGAAAGTCAGCAAAGAAACCATGGACTTAAAATATATTCTAGAACAAATGTAATGAGCCGATACTTACAGAAAATTCTACCCAAAAACTGCAGAATATACATTCTAGTATGAACAGAGAACATTCTCCAAGATAGACCATATGACAGTTCACAAAACAAGTCTCAATAAATATAAAAAAATTGAAATAATATCAAGTACTCTCTCAGTACACAGTGGAATAAAATTGGAAATCAACTCCAAAAGGAACTCTCAAAACCATACAAATACATGGAAATTAAATAATTTGCTTCTGAATGAGAATTGGGTCAACAAGGAAATCAAGTTGGAAATTTAAAAATTCTATGAACTGAATAATAGTGACACAACTTATCAAACCCTCTGAGGTACAGCAAAAGTGATGCTAAGAGGAAAGTTCCTAGCATTAAAAGCCTACATCATAAAGTGTAAAAAAACAAAAATAAATAATCTAAGCTTATACCTAAAGGAACTAAAAAAACAAGAACAAACCAAACCCAAACCCAGCAGAACGCAAGAAATAACAAAGATCAGAGCAGAACTAAATGAAATGGAAACAACCAAAAAAAATACAAAAGATAAATGAAGCAAAAAGCTGGTTCTTTGAAAAGACAAACAAACTGATAGACCATTAGTGAGATTAACCAAGAAAAGAAGAGAGAAGATCCAAATAAGCTCAATTAGAAATGAAACGGGAGGCCGATTACAACTGTAATCCCAGCACATTGGAAGGCAAAAGCGGGCAGATCCCTTGAGGTCAGGAGTTTGAGACCAGCCTGGCCAACATGGTGAAACTCCATCTCTACTAAAAATACAAAAATTAGCCAGGTATGGTGTCATGCACCTGTAATCCTAGCTACTTGGCAGGCTGAGAAACAAGAATCGCTTGAACCTAAGAGGTGGAGGTTGCAGTGAGCTGAGATTGTTCCACTGCACTCCAGCTTGGGCTACAGAGTAAAACTATGTCTAAAAAAAAAAAAAAAAAAAAAGGGCCAGGTGCGGTGGCTCACCCCTGTAATCCTAGCACTTTAGGAGGCCGAGTCACGTGGATCACGAGGTCAGGAGTTTGAGAGCAGCCTGGCCGCATAGTA
This sequence comes from Homo sapiens, assembly GCF_000001405.40. Lineage (NCBI taxonomy): Eukaryota > Metazoa > Chordata > Mammalia > Primates > Hominidae > Homo > Homo sapiens. The sequence continues at coordinate 84,390,754 of NC_000013.11, read as the reverse complement.
AAACGCCGTATCTACTAAAAATACAAAAATTAGCCTCGCATGGTGGCACACACCTGTAGTCCTAGCTACTCAGGAGGCTGAGGCAGGAGAATCACTTGAACCCGGGAGGCGGAGGTTGCAGTGAGCCAAGATCATGCCACTGCACTCCAACCTGTGTGACAGTGAGGCTCTGTCTAAAAAAAGAGAGAGAGAGAGGAAAAAAAATGAAATGGGAGATATTACAAATGACACAACAGAAGTACAAAAGATAATAAGAAAATTCAAGGCTAATGTGAACACCTTTATATGCACAAACTAGAAAACATAGAGGAGATAGATAAATTCCTGGATATACACAACTCTCCTAGATTAAACCACGAAGAAATAGAAACTCTGAACAGACCAATAAATGTGAGATTAAAATGGTAATAAAAAACTTGCCAACAAAAAAAAAAGTCCAGGACCAGATAGATTCACAGCTGAATTCTATCACACACTCAAAGAAGAATTGGTACCAATCCTATTGAACTATTCCAAAAGACAGAGAAAGAGGACTTCCTTTCTAAATCATTCTATGAAGCAGTATCACCCCAACATGAAAACCAGGAAAGGACATAACAAAAAAAGAAAACTACAGATTGATATCCCTGATGAACATAGATGCTAAAATCCTTAACAAAACACTAGATAACTGAATCCAACAACATATCAAAAAGATAATCCACCATGATCAAGTGGGTTTCATTCCAGGGATGCAGGGGTGGTTTAACATACGCAAGTCAATAAATGTGATAAACAAAAATCACATGATAATCCAAATAGATGCATAAAAAGTAGTTGACAAAATCCAGCATCGCTTTATGATTAAAACCCTCAGCAAAACTGGCATATAATGGACATACATCAAGGTAATAAAAGCCATCTATGACAAACCCACAGCCAACATTATCCTGAGTAGGGAAAAGTTGAAAGCATTCCTCTTCAGAACTGGAAGAAAACAAAGATTTCCACTTTCACCATGTCTGTTCAATATAGTACTGGAAGTCCTAGCCAGAGCAAATCAGACAAGAGAAATAAATGTAGGGCATACAAATTTGGTAAAGAGAAAGTCGCACTCTCACTGTTCACTGTTATGATTGTAAGCGCAGAAAACCCTAAAGATTCATTCAAAAAGCTCCCAAATCAGATAAATAAATTCATAATGCTTCAAAATACAAAGTCAATATACACAAATCAGTAGCTTGGCTATACACCAAGAGTGACCAAACAGAGAATCAAATCAAGAACTCAACCTCGTTTACAATAGCTGGAAAAAAAAAAAAAGATATATACCTAACCAAGGAGGTGAAAGACTTCTGCAAAGAAAACTACAAAACACTGCTGAAAGAAATCATAGATGACACAAAAAAATGGAAAAACATCCCATGCTCCTGGATGGGTAGAATTAATATTGTGAAAATGACTATACTGCCAAAAGCAATCTATAAATTTAATACAATTCCCATCAAAATACCACTATCATTCTTCATGGAAGTAGAAAAAACAATGCTAAAATTCATATGGAACAAAAAAAGAGCCCGGATAGCCAAGGCAAAACTAAGCAAAAAGAACAAATCTGGAGGCATCACATTACCCACCTTCAAACTATACTTTAAGTTTATATCACAAAAAGAGTGGGATCCAGCAATCCCACTCTTGAGTATCTCCCCAGAGGGAAAGAAGTCATTATATGAAAAAGACACTTGTGCATATATGTTTATAGCTGCATAATTCGCAATTGCAAAAATATGGAACCAGTCCAAATACCCATAAATCAATGATGGGATAAAGAAAATTCCCTCTCTCTCTCTCTCTCTCTCTCTCTCTCTCTCTCTCTCTATATATATATATATATATATAAATCATGACTGTTATGAAATCATAACATTCACAGCAACCTGGATTCAATTGGAGACTATTATACTAAGTGAAGTAACTCAGGAATGAAAAACCAAACATTGTATGTTGTCACTTATAAGTGGGAGCTAAGCTCTGAGGATGCAAAGGCATAAGAATTATACAATAGACTTTGGGGTCTTGTGAGGAAGTGTGGGAGGGGAGTGATGGATAAAAGACTACACATTGGGTACAGTGTATGCTGCTCCGGTGATGGGTGCACCGAAATCTCAGAAATCATCAATAAACAACTTATTCATGTAACCAAACACCACCTGTTTCCCCAAAACCCATAGAAATAAAATACATACATACATACATACATACATACATACATACATGGATGTACTTCTGTATTCTGTATTCTGTTCCATTCATGTAGTTGTCTGTTTTTATGCCAATACCATACTGTTTTGGTTACCCTAGCTTGAGAACATGAGTCGAAGTCAGGTAGTGTGGTGCATCCAGCTTTTTTTCTTTTGCTCAGTATCATTTTGGCTATTAGAATTCTTTTCTGGTTCCAAACAGATTTTAGGCTTGTTTTTCTATTTCTGTGATTAATATAATTATTATTTTGACACAGATTGCATTGAATTTGCAGATTACTTTGGGTTATGCATCATTTTAACTGTAATAATACTTTGAATCCAAGATCATTGGCTCTTATTCCATTTGTTTGTGTCCTCTTGAATTTCTTCCATCGGTGCTGCCTAATTTTAAGAAGTCTTTAACCTCTTCAGTTAAATTTATTTCTCAGTATTTTAGTGTGAGTGTGTGTGTGTGTGTGTGTGTGTATTGTAACTGATGTTACTTTCTTGATTTTTTTAGCTAGTTTGCTATTGGTATATAGAAACACTACTCGTATTTGTACGTTGATTTTGTATCTTGCAACTTTACTGTATTCGTTTATCAGTTGTAAAACGTTTTTGTTGGTTGTGATATCTGTAGGTTTTTCCATATATAAGGTCATGTCATCTGCAAAAGGAGATTTCCTGTCTTCCAATTTAGATTAGTTTTATTTCTTCCTCTTGTATGATTGCTTTGAGTAAGACTTCCAGTGCTATGTTGAAATAAAAGTGGTAAAAAATGCATATTTTTTGTCTTATTCTACTTTTTAGAGAAAAGGCAGTCAGCTTTTTCCAATTCAGTCTGTGGATGTGTCATATATGGCCTTATTATGTTGAGGTATGTTCCTTCTATGCTTAAGTTGTTGAGAGTTTTTATCATGAAGAGATGTTGAATATTACCAATTGCTTTTTCTGTTTCTATTGAGATGATCAAATGGTTTTGTGCTTCATTCTGTTAATGTGATGTATCACATTTATTGATTTGCGTATGTTAAATCATCCTGTATCTCTGGTACACATCCCACTTAATCATGCTATATTGTCTTTTAATTAATTATTTTTGAGACAGGGTCTCACTCTGTCACCCGGGTTGGAGTACAGTGGTGTGATCATGGCTCAAAGCAACCTCAATCTCCCAGGCTCAAACAATCCTCTCACTTCAGCCTCTCATATGTTTTTAATGTGGTGTTGGATTCAGTTTACTAGTATTTTGTTGAGGATTTTTGCACCTGTATTAAGCAAGAATATTAGCCTATAGTTTTCTTTTATTGTGTCCTTGGCTAGTTTTGGTATCAAGGTAACATTGGCCTCAGAGAATAAGTTTGGAAGAATTTCCTTCACTTCAACTTTTTCATATCCTTCAGGTTGAGAATATGAATACTAGTTATTCAAAAAGTTTTTCTGAATTTAGCAGTGAAGATATCTAATTTTGAGCTTTCTTTTGGTGGAAGACTTCTTATGATTGATTTAAATCTCATTACTCATTATCGTGTTGTTTAGGTTTCCTATTCCTTCCTTATTCCACCTTGGTACGTTGTATATGCCCAGAAATTTATCCGTTTCTGTTTTCCAATTTTTTAGCATAGGGTTTTCCATAATATTCTCTAGTGACTCTTTTTATTTCTGTAGTATCAGTTGTAATATCTTCTTTTCATTTTTGATTGTATTTATGTGAGTGTTTTGCTCTCTCTTTTTTTGGTTATTTTACTGATTATGTTTTGTTTATCTTTTCAAACAAACAATAAGTTTTTCATTAAGCTTCATTTTTTGTGTGTTTTTAGCCTCTATTTTCCTTAGTTCTGCTTTGATCTGTATTCTTTACTTTTACTAATTTTGTGTTTGATTTCTTCTTGTTTTTCTAGTTTCTTAAGGTGCATAATTAGGTTGTTTATTTGAACTATTTCTGCTTTTTTATGTAAGTGTCTATTGCTATAAACTTCCTTCTGAGCACTGCTTTTGCTGTATTCCATAGATTGAGGTAAGTCCTCTATGTTTCCATTTTTATTTATTTCAAAAAATTATTTTCTTTTCAAATTCTTTATTGATTCAATGATCATCCAGGACCACATTCTTTAATTTCCATATATCTGTACATGTATAAAGCTTCTCTTGTTATATATTTCCAGTTTTTTTCCTGTGGTAATCTAAGAAGATACTTAATACAAATTTGACTTTTTGAAAATTTGTTGAAACTTGTTATGTGGCCTAAAATATGGCTCATCCTGTATAATATTCTTTGTGCTGATGAGACGTATGTATACTCTGCAGTTCTTGGATGAAATGTTTTGTAAGTATCTGTTAATTTCATTTGGCTTGTGGAGCAGAGTATATCTGATATTTCTTTGTTGATTTTTTGTATTTGTTTTCTTATCTACCAGTTGTTTTTTCTTTTAGCTCTTTAAATATAATACCCATTCTTTCCTGGTCTGTAAGGTTTCTTCTGAGAAATTGTTCTTATTCTGATGATAGTTTCTTTATAGGTAACTGGATGCTTTTCATTTGGTTGTTTTTAGAATTCTCTCTTTGTCTTTTACTTTTTACAGTTTAACTATAATGTACCTTGGAAAAGATATTTTGGGGACTGGATCTATTTGAAGATTCTTAAGCTTTCTATATCTGTATGTCCAAGTCTCTTGAAAGACTTGAAAATATTTCAACTCTTATTTTGTTAAATAGGTTTTCTATGCCTTTGCACATCTCTTCTCCTTCTGGAAATGTCTAAATTCATTTTTTTTTTTTTTTTGCTAATGGTGTTTATGTCACATAAATTTTCTTTACTTTTATTTTTAATCAGAGTGAGTTATATTGAATGGCCTATCTTTAAGGTTAGAAATTCTTTATTTTGCTTAATCTCATCCGTTGTCAAACCTCTTGGTTGTAATTTTCATTTTATTCATTGAATTCTTCAATTTCAGGATTTCTGATTGGTTCTTTTTTATAGTTATTTATCATCTTTTGTTGAATTTCTCATTTAGATCATGCATTGTTTTCTTTATCTGTGTTATTTTGTATCTCACTGAGTTTCTTTAATTTCGTAATTTTGAATTATTTTTCAGACATTTCACAGATTTCCTTTTTTTTTCTATTCTGTCCTTGGAGAATTATTGTGTTGCTTTAGAGGTGTCTTTTATTTTATTTTTTTCCCCATTTCATGTGTCCTTAAACTGATATCTACACATATGGTATAACAGTTGCTTATTGTAATTATACAGACTGGCTTTCATAGGGAAAGATGTTTTTCTGTATCTATGTTTCCATTGTTGCTTGATTAGAGCACTTTGACTTTGATTCTGGGTGGATACAGTAGTGTAGTCTTTATATGATTTCTTCATCTGTAATCAATTTCAGTAGTATCTGTGAGATCTTCATGAGCTTAGGCTGCAGATTTTAGTGGACACTGTTGAGGCTTTCTTGGGGATGAGGAAGCCTGGTAGGCCAGTTCTTGGGCACCAGTGGTGGTGCAGTGAACTGGGTGTCCCAGTCCTCAGGCACCCGGATGGTATAGGTGGGCATCATCATTGACAGGTTTAGGCAAGTCAATATTTGAGTCTCTAGGTGGTATGCTTGGGCAATAGCAGTATCAGCAATGGGCTGGGAAGGGGGATGCTCAGGCCTTCAGGTGGCATGTGTGGCATTAGCAGTGACATTAGAAGCAGCAGACCAACCCTCAGGTGCACATGGGTGGGTGCCATTGGCAGCAGGCTGAGTGGGCTCATCCCTGAGGCCTCAGAAGGCCTGTGTGAGTGCCAGTAGTGGGCATGTTGGTCTCCTGGATGGTTTGTGTGTTCACTGGTGGTGGTGGGCTGGGTGCCCCAAGTTCCCAGATGACATGCACAGGTGCCAACAGTGATGGCCAGTGCAAGTTAATCTCTGTATCCCTGAATGATGTGTGCAAGTGATGATGTTGGCAGCAGTATTAAGCATGAGCCTGTCCTCAGATCCCAAAATGGTGCATGCAGGTGCTGATGGGAACAGGTGGAGCAGGTCAGTCTCCAGATCCTTGGGCAGTGTGTTTGGATGCTGGTGGGAGTGGCAGTGGCAGTGACATTGGGCATAGCAGGATGGTCCTCAGGCTTTGGGATGGTTTGTGGGAATGCTAGTGACAAAGCCATCTGAAGGCTGGTGCAAGTGTGCAGTAATCCTGCTGCTGAAGGGGCAGGGTTTCTGTTAGTGGCAGCAGCCCCAAGCAGATGGCTCTCAGTCTCTGAGAAGCATGTGCCCTGGCTACCTTTTTCCAGGGATTGCTTCCCTGCTGAGTTGCTCCACTCATTCCTTCCAGTGTAGGACACTGTGTTGTCTAGAGTACTTGGGACCCAATCATACCAAGGGGTCCCGCGGTATGACGGTGCTATATCCCTCTTGGTTGACCTGGAGGTGGAAATATTAGTGGGGCCTTAGGGATGTGGAGATGCAGGGGCTTTGGGGCTCCAGGGAAGGATGTCTAGTGGGGGATTGACTCTCAAAATAGCAAAGTGCTACAGTTGCTTTGGTCTCAGGCAGTGTGTGGGATACAGCGTGAATATTGTCTCTGGAACAATGTCATTGTTTGGATTCCAAGAAGCTCTCTATTCTAGTTTAAGGCCCCTGAAGGTCAAGGGGCTCTCCTGTAGCTAGGATTGCAGGAGTCATGGTGGGAATGTGGACCTATTGAGATCTCTTCCTTACCTTTTCCCCATAATGGGGCATTCCTTCTGGCTCCAAGTTGATATTGGCCAGGTAGACTGTCTCAGTTCACTCTTTTTTTATGCCTCAGAGGTGCCCTGTCACTTCCTTGCTGAATTCCATGGTTCTGCCTTAGATGCTTTATTTGACATATTGTTATCTGTTCACTGTTTTGGTCCTTGTTTGTGGAGAAGGCAAGTGCCAGGCACCTCCAGTCAGCCATCTTGAATTCTCCCTGTACTTGAGAACTGAATGTTATCATTTTCTTTATAGACACTAACATAGTGAGCAAAAGCAGGTTAAACAACTTCTAAAAATTGTTTTCTATTGGTTTAAATGATTAGCCAAAACAAAACTAGTTCACATGGACTTGTAATGGATCAGACACATCTTTTAGGTCTTGCTCTTAATTCTATATTAAGACTTCTAAGTAGAAAAATAAAAGAAGGATCTTCCTTTGGATTAGCACTATGAAAACTGAGCGAAGTGAATGAGACACAAAAATCTATGAGGAAAGATATTTTTACTTGATTGCCATTTAAAAATTGCAATGTATTTTAATCTGCATAAAATAAGTGGTGCCTATTAAAAAATATCATTTGCTGTAATGCATAAAGTATATCCCTTCAGAGGCTTGCTTTATGGCAAAGAAAATGTGTTAAAAGTGTGAGCCATAATTTTATAGTTAAGCCCAAGGTTGCAAATAAAACAAAGGAGAAATAAAAATACAAAAAATAGAACATCCAGTGCAAGTTCAAAAAAAGGACATTAAAATATTATCTTAATTGAAAATATGCTAAAAATTCATGTTTTATGTTAAAGTAATTATATCAAAATAAATACTTAAAAATACTTTATTATTTTTTGTTATCGTAGTTTGGCTTTTTAACACAAAATGATATATACCTCCCCCTCATAATCTCTCATGTTCTCCTGCCATACCCTCTTCTGCTTGTGGGGATCCTTAAATATGATGATGTCTCTAATGGACTTTTCTTTACCCAAGACAATTCCTAAATAGTAGACAAGTCTCATTTAAAACATCCTCCTACAAACATTCCTGAATGTCCCTGTACTAGGGCAGGTGCTAAACTAGGGATACCATGTATCCCTGGTCATTCTGAACATCTCCTATGGTACCACTTAGAGAACTTTACTTTTAAAAGTTCATGAGTAATAATCTTTTTTCCCCCAGCAAGATGATGCATTATTAAGCTTACTATTGCTCATGAGGAGAGTCAAGCAGTCACTCAGACACTTGAGACATCTCTACAGAGGCCTTGCAGAAAATGCAGGACTGGAAGAATCTATTGAAGAGGAGAAGTGAAATAGATTTTTGTCTACTAGTTCCTCTGATTTCCCATATGCCATTGATTCAAGTATGCTCATAGGGAGTTAACTCCCTCTTATCTGGGTTGCATGTCCCTGCCCTTTCAGCAACTTTATATGAATTCTGAAGTAGTGGCAGGAGACAGGAGCAGTTTGCAGGGCTCTTTGGTAAGGGTTTGAGAGACAGGTATGGGCCAATACATCTGAGGGGAACATGCAATGCGAAAGGTACAGAGAAGGGGCTAAAGAACTAGCACTCTTTTCTAATCTGCAATTCTACATCACACAGACACCCTCAAAAGTATTTGATATATTGATTATGATTCCCATTTCTTATGTATTAACAAGCATATAGCGATTAAATTTCTTACACAAGTTCATTAAAGCATTAATAAACATGATGCTAGAACTCAGTGTTCCTTATACCACACCAATCTCATTTTATTTCCTAGTCTAAATATGGTGATGGTATAAGTTTTGGACAATTCATATTGAAACAAGAAGTGTCTGAAAATTTGATTTTGACCATCCTGATTAACTGATGATTTATGTAATTTCTTTTATTAGTAAGAAAAGAAGCAATCAATTTTGAGAAACTGTCAAAATAGATGTCTCTTCCTTGCAAAGCATACTTTTTGTTTAAAAGCAATTATCTAGTTTGGTGTTAAAAAAAACACAAAATCTTTGAAGCTACTCTGGCTTCCATAGTTATGAACATATAATGTTTCTGGGACAACCTTAGAATAACTCTTGGACACATGGGAAAGCTATTAAAAAATAAAATGCTCTTTAAGTTCTTCTGACTAAATGCTTATGAATCATTAAAAGAGTTTTTTTTTTTTTTTTCCAGAATGTAAAGGTGCCAGTTTTCCAATGAGGCATTAAAACCCTAGGATATTGGAGAAGACAAAAAACAGATTATTCAGTTACATAAGCAAAATTACTTTGATTTCAGATTACACAATACTCTATTAAGTACTAACGTGCCATAATAAAGCACACATAAAAAATAAACATGTCACATGAGCAAAATTCTATCCCAGTTCGAGTGAAATATAGTATTACTATATTATCATAATATAATTATACATAGTCAAAATGAACTTCTTAGAGTGCATAGAAACACAGACAACTAATTGAGAATTTGTTGAAAAAGAGAGTAGAGGAGTTTGCATTCTTGAAATGTTTTATTTAAGAAGCAGCCTGGGCATGTGGGACGTGGGGACGCTGCGGCGGGAGGATTGCTTGAGGCAAGGAGTTGGAGACCAACCTAAGCAAGACAGTGAGACTCCATCTCTCAAAAAAAAAAGAAAAGAAATAAAAAAAAAGAGAAAAGGCTTCAGGTTCTGTGAGTTCATAATAGACAAACATGTCTTATTCTTGCTCTGCAAGCATCTGTTTGCTGAAAGAAGTTGAAGGAAGTTAGGATTACCAGAGGGTTTTCTCCCCTGATGTTAAAGCTATTGGAATGAACATATGGAAGGAATCGGCCAGCTGGGTTGCAAAGACGACCTAAAACCTTCTCATTAAAATGATCACTTCTGCTGATTTGGAATGCCTGCAGAGATAAATGGTAGGAGAATTTACTATTGTGGTGTGGCTACATCTCTTTAAAGCGTTAGTGACCCCAGGATCTTCCTTGCCTATCCACCCAAATCATGCTGGTTTTGTTTATATTTCTGTAACTGTATAATGATCCATGATAATCCCATAAAAGAATGAGGAGTTAATCTCGTATCCAACACCCTGCTCTCTTTGATATCAAGATATTTTCTAATGAGAAGGGTGCATTATTTACCATGTATGCATGTAGGAAATGAAATATCTATTTTTACTTCGTGATTTTTATGTGCATTGTTTTGTGGATATTTAATAAGATTTGATCTCTTGTATATAAGTAGAAAGCATTTTTTGCCTTCTTTGTTAATATATATTGATTATAAGGCTTATATTAGAATAGAAAGAAATTAGATTCAGGAAGAAAATTATACTTCTTATTCCTAGGATATTTAATACTTTTTTTGTAAACCATAAATTCTATATAGATAGCAGAAAGATTCTAATATTTAATATTGACTGTAACATGCAATTATTTGTCTTGCCCTTTATTGTCATCTTATATCATGTTGTGGGAGGAGGCAAATAAGAAAAAGTAAATAGTTACCTTAATTTCTTCTGAAAAGTCAGTACTGGCAGCAATCCTTTATCAATCAGTGTAAAGGGAATATTCTTTATTCACAAGCTTTATTAGAAATAGAGTCTCCGTATTAGAGCCAAAGACACTCAATCCTTACTGTTTGTTTGCAATGAAAGTTGTGTTTAGGTTTCAGAATACATGCAAAGGCATTAAAAAAATCATATATATATGTATATATTTTTAAAAAAACTGAAATGTAATAAAACAGTAGACTTGGTTGCATTGGGATAATTTTTTAACTGCTTTTTATTGTGGTCACATATTCATAACATAAAATTTGTCCTACTATGTGTGGCTTATTTTACATAGCATAATGTCTTCAAGGTTAATCTATATTATAGCATGTATCAGAGTTTCATTCCTTTTTAAGGCTGAATAATATTTCATTGTATACTTACACTAACAAAATACAGTTAAGTTGAACATTTAAGTTTCTCACACTTTTTGGCTATTGTGAATAATATTGCTATAAAAATGGGTATACAATATCTGAGTTCCTGCTTTCAATCATTTCAAGTAAAATTGGTGGATTATATAATAATACTTTTTTTTAGGGACTGCATAACTGATTAAAAATTACCTTATTTTACATTATTGGGTGGTTTTATTATCAGTGACTATTCCTAAATTTTTGACTACATGGTAGCGTACTTAAAATTGAATCATATATTTATTTGTTAAAAGTGAAATTTTCATTGCTAATATGAATGAATACTTGACCCAGTTGGGCAAACTATTACCTGTATCTGCTAACTTCATAATTATATAATGAAAATGATTGATAATTAGCTCTTGAAATGTGGATATTGGTAGATATTTGTGGTACTCCAGTAGGGGCATAAATCAACTCTTCACCTAAATCTGGTGTGAATGTTGAGACTGATGCAAATGTGCATTGAGAGGGTTTATTATTCAAGTAAAGAGACTTCCTGGGGCATGTAAGACTGGTACACAAGCCAGTCTGGAATGACTCGAGCAAGTGGGTGAGGGTTGGCTTGGAGTTCTTTTTCTTGGTAGGGGGTAGATTTGTGAACATGTTCCAGCTTTTGGGTTATGGATTATGTGGCTTGTATTTCCAGTGGTGCCGAGGGACCTGTGGTCTTATTTATCAACTTGCCCTGATAAGTGCTAGAGGGAAAGAGATGGAAATGGGGCCAAATAGCTTCCAGCAGTCAAACATCAAACATGGAGTCAGACTCTTTATTGCTGTAGAAAGTGTGATTAGAATTTAAAGTACTTAATTTTACTAGTCCTAAAATTCACTGGCTATGTGATGTTAAAATAGCCAATTAACCTACCTAATTGCTCTAATACCTAAGAGGGTTTTAAGAAGATGTTTTGAATTACAGATATTAAAATCTTTGGAAGTACTACAATAGTTGATTCTAAGTAGTCTGTTTCCTAGAATCCACGTGCTTAAGCGTTAGAGATGCAGTCTCATGCTATTGTCACGTTTAGACTTGTGAGACTGACTATATTCAGCACACAGTTTGTACTTTAATCTGTAATCTTGACCAGCATATATAGCTTCTTTGTTTCCCAGTTCCATATGTATAAAATCAGAGTATTAAGACCATATTTCACAATTCCTTATTGTGAGGATTAAATCAATCCATGTATTTAAAACATTTTTTTAAAGTATCTAGCATATGCTAAACACCTTAAGCGTTAGATAATTATTTGTAGAGAAATGAATGAGAAAAACCAATACAAAGTTGCTATGGTTCACATATGTGACGCCTCCAAATGGTCAAATTAGATCCCCAGTTTTGGAGGTGGGGCCCAGTGGCAGGTGTTTGGGTCACAGAGGTGGATCCATCACGAATGGCGTGGTGTTTTCCTCATGGTCATCAGTGAACTTTTACTCTATTCGTTCCCCCATAGATTTGGTTGTTTAAAAGAGTCTGGCACCTCTTTCCCCTCTCTCTTCCTTCTGCTCTCTCACCTTGTGATCGCTGGACATCCCAGCTCTGCTTCATGTTCTGCCATGAGCAAAAGTAGCCTGAAGCCCTCACCAGAAGCAGATGCTGGAGCCATGCTTCTTGTACAGCCTGAAGAATTGTGAGTCATATAAACTTCTTTCCTTTGTAAATCACCCAGCCTCAGGTACTCTTTTATACCAGCACAAGTGGACTGAGGCAGAAAATGTCCAAATTTATGAAGATATCTTTTGGAGAAAAAAGTAAATATTTGCATTCATATTTGTAGCTTCTCAGAGGAGCATTTTCTTTAGTCCAATTTCTTATTAGTATTTTCTCAAAATTACATAATGCATTTAAAGTAATTTAAGTCAGTATAAAAATTAAGAAATTTGGCTGGGTGCAGTGGCTCACGCCTGTAATACCAGCGCTTTGGGAGGCAAAGGCGGGTGGATCACCTGGTGTCAGGAGTTCAAGACCAGCCTGGCCAACATGGTGAAACCCCGTCTCTACTAAAAATACAAAAATTAGCTGGATGTGGTGGCGTACGTCTGTAGTCACAGCTACTCCGGAGGCTGAGGCTGGAGAATCGCTTGAACCTGGGAGGTGGAGGTTGCAGTGAGCCGAGATGGTGCTACTGCACTCTAACCTGGGTGACAAAGCGACACTTGGTCTCAAAAAAAAAAATAATGAAAAAATTAAAAACTTTACATGACACCTTAAAGCATCTTTTATATTCTTTTTAGAAATAAATAAATCATCAAAGTGATACTATTGGCTCTTCTCATAAATATCATTTATTATTCCACCCTCTGTTGTTCTAAAATTGACAGCAGGTTCTTTAAACCTAGCAAATCTCTGTCAATGTAATAATTACAAGCAAACCAAATGCTTCAGTACAATTTTAACACATGGGAGTCCTGGGCCCACTTTCTAAAATGTGAATAACAGAGATTTGTCTTGGAGTTTATATTCATCTCTATGGTAACTAGATAAATCACTCCAGTGTCAATGAGACAAAGTTCTGGCTCTCATTTCAAAACACACATATGCATTTTCACATTGTAGCAGTCAACATAGAGATATCTCTCCAAGCTTAGAATTTTGCCCTTGGGGGATGATTTTGACTGTGTATCAGTGACTCTCTTTCCTTGTATTGGTATTTACATATCTCTAAGGAGCATTTTTGCTTGTGTTCCAGAGTACAAAGCAGGAAAAGCAGAGTTCTGAGCACTCAAAGGGCACATATAAGTTTGGCTCTAAGAATTACAATTGCAGACCGATTACCTCATGAGCTCATAAAAATCCTTCCTGACAGACATTATGTGATGCATGATGTCTCTGTTTACTATCATTCAAAGTTTCTTGTTCCATTTTCTATAAAAATCCTACTACAATAAAGTTGTAATCTTGAAGCGATCCCATTACTCCTCACCTTTAGACTGGTGTAATCTAGAAAAGTCAGTTAGAAACCTGTTGAGACTTCAGTTCTCACATATGCATGCACAGTTAGAATTCTGATTGAAAATAAACATGTTTATAGGCAGAATGGAGGAGTTCTAGTTATTTTACAGAAAATTCAAGTGTTTCTATAGGAATCAGAATAAGACTGTAGCAATAAGAAATGCTGATGGTGAACAGTCATGTATTCACTCAACTATGGCCCATTCTACATCTATTGGGTGCTATCCCGGAGTAGCCAGCCAGCGCTATACTTCTGCTCTTATAATACATGATCCTAAGCAGAGATTTGAAAAATTAGGAAGTGTTCAAAACTGACAGTAGTGCAACTGTTAAATGTTGTGTGTAAATACATTTCAGAAACATGCATTTGTAGATTGCCACCATCAACTCTGAAGCATTTTTTAATGTTGAGCAGAATACTTAAGAGACGGGAATTTATAATATTCTCAAAGCTCTTAGAATCAGACAGTGACTAAAAGATTGGTGAGAAAAACACCAAATATAATAATGCTTACATATTCAGTCACGAGGACAGTCTGCCCTTAGTGGCAAAATATCTATTTATAACTATTTTAAATTTGCCTATGGTGTTTCTGACCCTTTAGAAATGATGGCTACGAAAGGATCACCCAGAGAGCATTCCAAAAATGTCGATTCTGAAGCTGATTTATAGAGTGCATCAGTAAACTTTGATATATAGATCAGGGATTTTAAAATCAACCTAAGAGATTATGATGATCATTCAGATTAGGAATTACAAGCAGAAAAAACATACTATATTCAAGTCAAATCTATAAAACATAGTGATGTGTGGTTTCCAAAGTATTGTAACACGAAGTCCTTTATCATCACTGCAACCTAAGGCATTTCAAAAGATCAAATGTGAGATAATATTGTGATATATCTATATTGTCGCTAACATGTTCATCACACTTTAGGTTTACTTTCTTCATCGAACACATGGGAAATACATAGAAATTAGACATGTGGCTGGGCATATTTACCTGGTCATGACTTTTCCATTTCTACCTATTATGAAGAGCAAATAAAAATCATTGGGTAGTAAGCTAACATGAATACTATCTGAAGTTCTATTGCACCACGTTTGCGTGTGCATGTGTGTATATATGCCGAGATAATCTTTCCTCATTATTTAGGAAGTCTAGGGATAAAATTATTTACAAGAAATATAAATGGTAGGACATCTTAATGTCAACCTAAAGTCTTCTTTATAAGTGATGAGTTAACATATGTTGGAATTAAGAGAACAAAACTTATCTTTCCAAGAGTATAAAGAAATTTAAATTATATTTTAATTTATATAATAAAAATTGCCAAGGTTTTTGTTTGGTGAAATTGGACAGAAAAAAATTAGAGATTCAACATTAAAATAAGAAATTAATTTTTTGAGAAATATCCATATCGTCTTCCATAATGGCTGTACCAATTTACATTCCCACCAACAGTGTGCGGGGGTTCCCTTTTCTCCACATCCCTATAAACACTTGTTATCTTTTATCTTTTTGATATTAGTCATTCTAACAGGTGTGATGTGATCTCATCGTGGTTTTGACTTGCATTTCCCTGATTAATGATACTGAGCACCTTTCTATATGCCCGTTGACCATTTGCATGTCATCTTTGGAGAAATGTCTATTCAGGCTTATACTCTTCTTTTTAGTGGGTTATGTGTTTTTTGCTATTGAGTGGGTTGATTTCCTTATGTATTTTGGATGTTAACACCTTATCAGATGTATGATTTGCAAATATTTTGGTAAAAGCACAGAAAGTTTGTTAGATTAATAAGTTCTGAAAAATCTCATTTATGGCATACATATTGGAAATTTGCTAATAGAGTGGACTTTAAGTGTTCTCACCATACACATGAAAATGGTAATGTTAACAGGTGATGTATATGTTCATTAGCTTGATTGTGGTAATAACTTCATAATGTGTATTTATATGACATTATCACATTGTACACCTTAAACAGACACAAATTTTGACCAGTTTACCTCAATGAAGCTTGAAGTAATGAAAATTGAAATTACTTTTGAGGAGATTATGATAGGGAGTTGTCTGATGAAAAAAATTCTAAAGGTAATATGAGCTCAGATTCATAATAAAAGTGGCTCCAAAAATTATTTGTAAAGGAGCTGAGTGTAATAATTTTTAACAATTTTAAAGGGGGTTAAGGAAAAAAATAACCAAAAGAATGTAAATGTAAGACATCATATTTAAAGATGGTGGTGCAGGAGAACTCAGAATGGTATGAAGGCTTGGAATCCGGATAATTAGGAAGTTTTTTTTTTAAAATAATTTTCCAAGCCAGTTAGTTTTACTTTCACCAATTGTAATTATTAAAGATTGTTCCTGTTTTTTCTTGATTAGCTGTTAAAAATCTCTGTAAAAGGCAACCAACTCTTAGACTAGCACTTGTTTCCAGCGTTCAGTACCATATTTGTAGCCATAGCTACTCGAAGAAGCAAAATGTGAGAATCTCTACCAAATTTTTCAGCTAAGGATAACAGAGTTGCAGAGTAACAGATACACAACTGGAGTAATGAATCTCAAGAAATAAGTGGTGATAACAATATTGCCAGCATTTACTGAGTGATTACTGTATACACTCATTATTCAGTTTCATATTTATGGTGGCATTTAATCCTTGTATACAAAGAATATTTAAATAAGGAAATATTCTTTATTTTAGAGAAAGTCTAAAATTTAGAAGGATTAAGTAATTTTTCTGGGTTTTAAAATTTTCTGGGTTTAAAAATTTCTTAAGAGTCCAGGCCAAGATATGAACAGAGGCAGTCTAACCACGGATCTGCTCATTAACTACTAAGAGATAAACTACAAGAAAGGCATAGAATGAAGGGCTCCAGTTATGCTAGGCAAAGTCCACAGTTTTGAAAATCTTTCCCATTGGCCTCCAAGGTATGCACAAATGTGCTACTTACATTATAGACAGAGAGAACTATCATCAAAACGAGATATTTTTAAATGTATATTGCATGATTGTTCCAAAATCCGCTTTAAAGTACAATAAATAAGCCATGCTAAGTTTTTCCATTGGGGGGGAGTACTTAGTCTCGAATTTATAGCATACCGTTACATCTTAATCTTTCGAGAATTATTAGAGAACTCAACACCATCCTTCTAAATTTGCACCTACTTAACATCTATGCCATCTCAAGAGAGGCATTGACTCCATAACAGCTAGCATTTCAGGGCATTTGTATTACAAAAGACTCATCTATGTCATTGGGGCAGGGGGAAGTTGTAACAATCTGTGTATACTTTTAGGAGTGTTATACCCACACGTACATCAACAACTTGTCATTCATGCAGGGAAGGTTGTGGGCATCAATTTTCTGCATGACAGTTTGGGTAGGCAGTGCCATTTTTCAATATTTTCACGTCTTTCCTTTCTGGTTACATAGTAGAAGTGCAATTCCCTACTTCCTTTAAGTGAAATATGGTATTGTTACTTTCTTTGTGCAATGAAACATGAAATGGCATAAGCTATGTTGCACCTGAGCAGATACCTTGAATAGTTGGTGCATGACTTGTCATGTTCTCTATTTGTCGTCCATGATTCTGAACTAATGATAAGCCACATAACACATGGTAGAGGCGCCATCATCTTCAGTTCTTGATAGAGTACACTGTAGAGAGAGCTGCTACTTACTGATTTTGGCTGATTGCATTAAAAATAAATTGTTTCTGGTTTTTGTTTTTGTTTTTGAGACAGTCTCGCTCTGTCGCCCAGGCTGGAGTACAGTGGCGCCATCTCAGCTCACCGCAACCTCTGCCTCCCGGATTCAAGCGATTCTCCTGCTTCTGCTTCCTGAGTAGCTGGGACTACAGGCGCCCGCCACCATGCCCAGCTAATTTTTGTACTTTTAGTAGAGACGGGGTTTCACCACGATAACCAGGCTGGTCTGGAACTCCTAACCTCATGTGATCCTCCTGCCTCGGCCTCCCAAGTGCTGGGATTATAGGCATGAGCCACCGTGCCTGGCCTGTTGTTTCTGTTTTTTAAGATACTGAGCTTGTTTAAGTAGATTTTATGCATTTTAACTTTATCTAACTTGACTGATAAAGCAGTCTTTCAAATATTTAAAAATAATTATAACATATCTTCTTAATTTTCTATTCTCTAGCTTAAGTAATTCCATTATCTCTAACATTTCTTTGTTTGAAATGTTGTCCAAACTGATAATATTTTCTATTTTAGTGGCAATAAAACTTTTTAACTACCAAATATTTCTGGTTAGTTTGCACCAAACATGTTTGAAATATTCCTCCTTGGATTTCCAATGACTACATACAGGCCATATTTAAATTTGGTGCATTTCATTTGTGAACACATTTTCATGGTGGTAAAGGGCAATTCATAAAATGGGACTGACAAGAAAGGTGACATTTTCTTGGAATAAATGTCCATAAACTCAACTATAAATTATTGTTTTATAGATTTTAGGGGTTACTAATTTCATCAGTAAGTGGACTAATCTGGAACGAACAAAAACAGGAAATATTTGAAACTTCGAGTACTTTCCATGATAACATCTTGTTTTATACCATTCAGCTTGAGCCATCACTACTAATAGAAAATATATTAAATATTAAGAGGGTCATAAAGGAGCCAAGTTAATGGGATCACAGATGAAACATCATTGAACAAGTGAAACAGACTAGACTCCTTCTCAACACTTTTCATAATAGTCAAAACATTAAAGTACCTCCTTGACTTTTTAGAAAAATATATAAAGTCTTTAGAAATTGAAAAAGTGATCCCTAGTTATGCTTTCTAGTTTGCCAATTTTAATGAACTAGGAAGCTGTAAAGGGACAGCCTGAATTCCACTGGGATGACTGAACAAAATTTGTCTCCATTTTAGACTTAGATATGGCATAAATGAAATAAAAGATATTGCAGAAAAATAGAAAGACTTCTTCATCATGATTTAAAGAAAGTATGCAATCAAGAATATAGTCTAAATTTTATTAGAAATATGCAAATGAGATAAAATAATCTCTACAAGCTGCTCAAACATAAAATTCCGTAAATGTAGACTCACGTGTCTATACGTATTCTCCAATCAATTTCCAAGGCATTTGGAGTGAAATTGTGGTACTCTGACCAACAAATTCAAACAGTAGAATTTTACTGTTTTTGATTCTGAAGGCACACAGGGCTTAGAGAGTCAATTTGTTTTCTATGAGTATAGTACACAGGGAAAATATGGTGATTGCTTGTGTTTTGGTCATAAAACAAAGGAATTTCAAACTTTTTTTTTTTTTTTTTTGAGACGGAGTCTCGCTCTGTCACCTGGGCTGCAGTGCAGTCGTGCAATCTCAGCTCACTGCAACCTCCGCCTCCCAGGTTCAAGTGATTCTCCTGTCTCAGCCTCCCGAATAGCTGGGACTACACGTGTACACCACCATGCCTAGCTAATTTTAATAATTGTGGTAGAGAAGGAGTTTCACCATATTGGTCAGGCTGGTCTCGAACTCCTGGCCTCAGGTGATCCACCCGCCTCGGCCTCCCAAATTGCTGGAATTACAGGCGTTAGCCATCATGCCCAACCTCAAACTTTTTTTTTTCCAAAAATAGTGTACCCTTCAGGTATCTCACAAAAGAGAATAAGCTAGACACATCAAAACCCCCTGCCCCAAAATGGTGGCACCAGCTTTAGTCTTCTTCGGCAAACACAATTAATCCTCACTTTGTGTGAGAGGAGGTAAAATCAAATAATTCCCAATAGAATAGAATTGTAGTCTAGCACACTGTTCAATAAATATAGCTAAGTGTCCTAGTTTACTATTTTTCTCTTTTTCCTTTTGTCTTTCTGTGGGGAAACATCTTTGTATCTTATAAAGTGAAAAAAAATTGTAGAAATTATTCTTTTATACCATCTGACTCTAGATTTAAGTACACAGGCAATACCAACATATTCTGCCTTCCATCATGGGGATAGGAGGGCAGAGCATAAAGAGAAAGAAAGATTTTTTAAAAAAGTAATATCAATTTTTACTTAATGGAGATTTTATATATATATATATATATATATATATATATATATAAAAGTAATTTTTCCTCTACATCCACATGTAAATTCACATGATATATAAATTATGCTGGCATAATTCCATTGCTGAACATCTGCCCAAGTGACAGGGTAAAATCTCCTTTAGCAGATGGTTAAACTTTTTTGACAGTAGCTTTCAGTTTATTTTCCTAAAATTATTAAGAAAAAGAGGTAGGTCAGTATATTGATTAAAATATGCAAAAAGAACAGAGGACTAATTTAGGGAATAATTGTGATTTCATTTTTTTGTAGATAGTAATGAGGATAAATGGCAGTGAAAATGATAGTGATTTTACATCTGTACCTAAATCATTAATTTTTAAACATTTTATTTTAATTTGGGAATTTAAGGAATCTAGCTGTAATATTCATTTCCTTATAGGCATGAGTAACTTTCTGTTTTCATCTATTCCTTAAACTTTGGAATTTTTAGAATTATGGCAGTAATACTAGTCAGCTGACTAAAGTGTATGGTCAAAAAGGATTATTTTAGCTTATGTGTCTCAGATAAGTCTGCACAAATATAACAGCAAATCATAAGAGAATACAATTATTTTTCAGCACATCTGTCTTGGGACAATTAATTGCAGAAATGTAGCTAAACATGTACCATCTGTGAAGGAATCTGCCAAGCAGAATTAGCAATACTGCATTTTAATAAACACCTAGTAGGTTTGGTAGTTTCTTCTTACAGTTACCATACCTAAAAAGCTTGCCAAATTGCTATAGTTTTAAGATTCTAATTAGGCCTCATTTTCTGTAGTGTGGATAATTATTTCTGCTTATAATATGAAGGTTTTGGTCATTTATCTTGTTGGAAAAATAGCTATTTATGCACAAACAGATGTTAGCACAAGGTTAGTGTATACTGAATGACATACTTATTAGTTTAATAAATAACAATAAGACATGCCAAGTAGAGTCTTATGCTGCTAGTATAATGTCATACACAAGAAAAGGGATTGCCGGGCGTGGTGGCTCACGCCTGTAATCCCAGCACTTTGGGAGGCCGAGGTGGGTGGATCACGAGGTGAGCAGATCGAGACCATCCTGGTTAACACGGTGAAACCCCGTCT
This sequence comes from Homo sapiens, assembly GCF_000001405.40. NCBI lineage: Eukaryota > Metazoa > Chordata > Mammalia > Primates > Hominidae > Homo > Homo sapiens. The sequence continues at coordinate 84,369,746 of NC_000013.11, read as the reverse complement.
GTACTAAAAATACAAAAAATTAGCCGGGCGTGATGGCGGGCGCCTGTAGTCCCAGCTAATCAGGAGGCTGAGGCAGGACAATGGCGTGAACCCGGGAGGCGGAGCTTGCAGCGAGCTGAGATGACGCCACTGCACTCCAGCCTGGGCGACAGAGCGAGACTCCGACTCAAAAAATAAAAAAGAAAAGCGATAACAGAAATGTACATAAGATGGGAAATATTTACTTATTAGGAATAACTCCTCCCAAAATGCTCTGAATAGTTTTATAATTCCTCATTTATATTAATTTTAAGCAATGTAATTTCTATTTTTAAATAGAAATTAGATAAGAAACATGACAAAATCTAAAATAACTATTTCTTAATTTTGCAAAGCATTGTTTTATCTCAATGCTTTTCTTCTGAATAGATTACAAATGGAAGAAACAAAGTTATATGCCACTATTTTGACATAGTAGGAATATGTGCATTTGAATTTATAATATTTTGACGAAAACTCAAAAAACTATTACCAATATAAACAAATTGCATTCATAAAGTAGTTTTTAAACATTTTATTTTGAAGTAATTTTAAACATATAGAATATTTGCAAAAAATAATACTGAGAGTTCATATACACTCTTCACCCATCTTCTCCTAATGTTAAAAATATTCACAATCATGATGCAATGATAAAGACCAGGAAATTAACTTATTAACTCAATGACGAGTTTATTTGATTTTTACCAGTTTGTCCACCAATGACCTTTCTAATGTTCCAGGATCCCATTCAGAAGCCCATGTTACATTTAGTTCTAATTTCTCCTTAGTTTCTAGCAATTTGTGAAGTTTCTTATTCTTTCCTTATCCCCCATG